>NC_000004.12:117860774-118012290 GCF_000001405.40 Homo sapiens | reverse complement strand
TTTTACAAAAAGCCCACTCTGGAGATAATTAACCCACTCTTGAGATAATGACGTTAATCCATTAATTAGGGTGCTACGCTCATGACCTAATCACCTCTTATTAGGCCCTACCTCTCAAAACTGTTGCACTGGGGCTTAAGTTTCCAACTCATGAACCTGGGAGTACATTCAAATCATAAAAAGAATCATGTAGAGGCTGGGTGCAGTGCCTCATGCCTGTAATCCCAGCACTTTGGGAGGCCGAGGCGGGTGGATCACTTGAGGCCAGGAGTTTGGGACCAGCCTGGCCAACATGGTGAAACCCCATCTCTACCAAAACTACAAAATTAGTCGGGTGTGGTGGCACGCGCCTGTAGTCCCAGTTACTTGGGAGGCTGAGGCATGAGAATTGCTTGAACTTGGGAGGCAGAGGTTGCACTGAAGTGAGATCTGCTACTTCATTCCAGCTTGGGTGACGGAGTGAGACTCTGTCTCAAAAATTAAATAAATAAGTAAAAATAAAAAGAATCATGTAGATCAGGACTTATAAACTCAAATCATAAATAAACAGAGCTGTTTAGGATTCATTTATAGTGTATGACTCCACCAAAAAGGGCAACAGTGATCCAGGTCTTGCTGATTGCTGTGGGAAAATATAGGGTGACTGTTCAAAAGAAGCTATACAGGTAACTAGAGTTGTATGTGAACATTCTTTTTAGCATTGAAAATTAATTCAAATTAGAAAAATAAAACCACAGTGGGCCAAAATGCATTTATTTGCATACCATATCTAGCCTGGAGCAGTGTGTAACCTCTGGATCAAGCACAAATTTTTAAATTTTATTTATTTTATCTTATTTTATAAGTAAAGGCATGGCACTAAAAAAAATGAAGTTACTTGTCTAAGATAATATAGCATATTAGTTCCAGAGCTGTCTCTAGAACCAGGTCTCCTGAATCTTGGTCCTCTGTTTTCTTTGGGGGGAAAAATTGATTTTTATTTTTTGTCTTTAGGAAATAATTCTTTACTATCCTTATTAGAAGGTATTTTTGGCTACAGATTATAGAAGAATATCTTATTGGTAGAGAATTGATATGGTTTGGATTTTTGTCCCTGCCCAAATCTTATGTCGAATTGTGAACCCCAGTGTTGAAGGAGGGGCCTGCTGGGAGGTGATTGGATCATGGGAGTGGATTCCCCCTTGCTATTCTTGTGATAATGACTGAGTTCGCATGAGATCTGGTTGTTTAAAACGGTGTAGCATCTCCCCCTGCTCTCTATTCCTCCTTCTCTGGCCATATAAGATGTGCCTGTTTTCCCTTTGCCTTCCATTGTGATTTTAAGTTTCCTGAGGCTTCTCCAGCCATGCTTCTGGTACAGCTTGTGGAACTGTGGTCAATTAAACCTCTTTTCTTTATAAATCTCCCAATTTCAAGTAGTTCTTTATAACAGTGTGAGAATGGACTAATACAAGAGTATTTAATTTTAGTACTATGCTTCTAAAACTCCTTTTATATAAATTTCCTAAACCTCAAATTTCCCCTGAAAATCAAGCAAATGACAATCATTCCCTACTCCCTCCAAGAACCCCCTCCCTTAAACCTTGCATCTGAAGCATTCTTCCAATATTAGAGCAAATGATTTCTCATAAAAAGACCACTATACAGAGAAGTAGAAATTTGGTAATCTTTCTACACCCTCGATGACATTGGCTTTCGAGGCACTATTTTAAATGGAGCATGTTGTGTTGCCTACCTCATTTAGCAAATGTCTACTCCAGGAAGGAGGGCTTCAGAATGTTGAGCTCTGGATCTTCTTGTGCTTTCAGAATAATAATGGATTTGCAATATTATTTACATTTTAACATTTCCTATGTGTAGTAAGTCATATTCTGTAACCCAAGACAATGCTTACATTCAGAATTTTTTTTTTTGCTGTCATTAATGTAGCATCCCTACTTTTGCCAATCAACTCAAAGGCACTCCATTTATAAGCATGTTTCACACATACTAAAGAATAATTATCATAAACATATTTTAGCATAATTAAATACCTTACTCTGAGTCTCCCTTCTTCAGCCTTCCTTTGTTTTCAACCTAATCTGCATTCCAATCTTCAATAAGCCTATCACATTGTTTGACTAGTTCATTCCCCTGCTCAAAAACCTTCAGTGTTTCTCATTACAGATTAATGTTAAAACCCATAGTTCCCAAACTATGAGCTAAGTCACCCAGGGTGCCGTAGTGAATTCACAGGGACACCACAGATTTTTTTGTAAAAATTGAGGGACGCACAGTGAACATTTGTCAGACACTGTCAAAATGACTATCTCAAAGTGGTTCACAGTTTTAATATTTACATTCCTTTAATTATCTTTCTTTCCTTTTGATGATGTCCTTTCTTTTCAAAGGTGAATTTTCAACAATTACTGTGATACAAGACAGTACCACTAAGAAAATAATGTGGAGCATGAAATGAGGGTGGTGATATCCAATCTGATTTTGATGCTTGAGGAATTATGCAATGCCCAGCAGGCATACATGTCTCATTAGTAAACAATCATGGCCGCTTAAGTATGAAATAAAATGTAATTTTTTTCTTTAAATGGAGTGTATTTTTCAAATGATTACTAAGTTGTCAGGACATAAATACTTACGTTGTTTGAACCTACTTAGTAAATGGAGGTATTTCTTTTAGTCTAAGAATGCTATGAAAAAATTACTGAGATAAGGGTGAATCACGAAAGTTTGAGTATGTCTTGTCTGGTCCAAGCCTTTTAGTCTTGCATTCAATGACCTTTAAATATAACTCAACTCTTTTAAAATTTGTCTTATACTATTTTCTTATTTTAATTTTCTATTGTCTCTTAAATGGTGTATTCATTGTCTCTTGATCATGGCTCATCCAGCTGGTATACTGGGTGTTTACTTTCCAACCTGCACTTTGGTTTATGTATTTTCCACATGTGGCAGTATAATTTGTTGAGATATAAATTTGTGTTTTGTTATCTCTTTCCCCCTCTCTTTTCCAAACAAGTTCTTAGGCATTTTTAGATCGTTGGATAAAGGAAGGTGGGTGGGAGAGGAGAAGCTTCCTCCAGTCAGGAAAGAGAAGGTATCGGCAGACAAACCATTTTTTCTGATTTTGTTTTATTCAGAAGTCCAAAGTCTTTGAGAGATTTATGTTTGGGGGTTGGGGAGAGCAGGAAGGGGACTGTGTTGCAGGTGGGGAAAAAAAGAAAAGCAGAATGTCCTAGTTCCCTAGGGCTACCACAGAAAATTAACACAAGTTGGTGGGTTGAAACAACAGAAATGTATTTTCCAACAGTTCTGGAGACCAGAAATTCAAAATCAAGATTATCAGCTGGGTTGGTTTCTCCTGGAGGCTTGGAGGGAAAAGGTTTCCTGCCACTCTTCTAACTTCTGGTGGTTGCTGGCAATCCTTGGCATTCCTTGGCTTGTGGAGATACCGCTCCAGTCTTTGCCTCAGTCTTCATGTGGTGCTCTCTTCTGTGTGTCTCTGTGTCCTCTCCTTATAAGGACACTTGCTTTGGATTTAGGGACCAGCCTAAACTCAGGATGATTTCATCTTGTGATCATTAATTAATTATACCTGCAAAGACCCTATTTCCAAATAAAGTCACATTATGAGGTTCTGGGTGGGCACAGGTATTTTGGGGGACACCATTCAACCCACAATAGAGACTGGGAGTGGAAAGAGATTGGCAGGTAAAGAATATAGGGGACTACAAGTATTGCAAAATGTGAAAAGGGACTGAAAAGCCTTCTATTTCACCAAGTAGGAGAGAATTTACGTACCAGGGTTCTGGCAAAACCAAGATTTTTCTGTCCAAACTTGGCACAGGAATGGTAATCACTTGCCTTCAAGGGACCACACAGGCTTGGACCACATTTGGTTTGAACAAAGTAATTTCACAATCTTTATACATCTAAGTGTGTAAAACATAATATATCACTACAAACACATTTATCCCACCTGTCCCCCAAGTCTGAGCTCAAATTCCCTTTCTTTATAAAAACTTAGGCTAATGTCATTCCATTCTTCATTGTTTTGATGGTGACCTTCTTTTAGTAGTTAATGTGGTGCCTCATCTCATTTTTCCTCTCCAAGTATTTGTATTTTAAGCTTGTGAAGCTATTTATCATTTCGTGTCTGTATTGTGTTTCCCTGCTATAATAGATTTTAGCTTAAAATTTATTTTAGCGTTTTATTTATCTTGGTAGCCATCTTCACTTTTATCACCATGCACTGTTGTGCCAAACTCCTATTAACCTCAATAGGGAAGGCACTAGGTTCAAGAGGTGGAAGAAAAGACCCAGAGCCAGCAAACAAGGCAAGGAGTTTTTTTAGGGGATGATATACAGTGGAGAGAGTTCAGTGGCAGTGACTGGACAAGAGAACTCCCTTATATACAGCCCAGTGGCAGCGGGCTGGACAACCTGACTGCTCGGCACAGTGATGGGGGGCTGGGTGGGTAAACCGCAACTGCTTGCACACAACATGCAGTTTAGATAGCATTTTCACTTAATGTTCTCTCCTTAATGATTTCTGCCTGGCAACCATCATTTAACCCAAAACTCAGGACCTTGATCCTCTGTATGGCCTGCCTGTGTTCCACAGGATGGGCTGAGGTCTCAGGTGTTCCTCATAGACAAGGAATCAATCTCTGGGTTGGCCAGTTCCAGGTTCCCTAGCTCAGAACACAAATTCAGGTGCGACTGTCATTCAGTGTCATTCTAAGAATGTGCTTAAGTTATTGCTGTCAGATGCATTTACCGTGCATATACTCAACAGTTAATGGATCTAATTAGATTGACTGTGTTTACTTTGTTTTCTTGGTGTTCATACCTCTCCCTATTTCTTCTTTGATATATTTAAAAAATATATTTGAAAACATGGTAGTATATGACATTTTTTTCCAGTGCAAACAAAGTATATGGGAGTGTTCAGTCTGCAAATATTCTTTATGATTTTGACCAACCTATCCCAAGGTAAATGACAAGTGAAAGAAGTTTTATTTTCTATGTAGCTTGCATCTCAGGTGCCCTGAAATTGCTTCCTTTTGTGTTGTACAGCATTGCTAGCCAACCTTGGTCATTTCTGAATTTCACAATTTAGCTTGCTTTATCAGATGTATATGGGAGTGAGCTCTTGGTAAGTGAGAAATGAACTATAATCTGATGTACAAACAGATCCTCTGGGACTCAGCTGATGTTCTTGTGGGAATGCACTGCTGTATGTCTTTCCTTTTCCTTGATTTGTGGCATTTATGTTCTATCAGACCTGGAAAAAACACAAAACTTAGGAAAAATTTAATCCCAGGATACATCCATCATTTTCAAAGGAACTCAATTCATCTTCCGTGTCTAGGACCAGGAATTATGTGGTCCTAGCCATTTTCTTCTGTTTGGCTAGAAAGAATGACAGACTTAAGCACAAAGTGAGAATACCTGATATCAATGAAATTTTTTTCAGTTCCAGAAAGTTCTATGTCCAGAGTGGATCTGAATAGCTCTGAGAAAATCTATAAGCCATATTCTTTAATCTTTAATCAACTAATAAAGAAAAGAAATCTTTTTAATCTTTAACTAAAGATTAAAGGAAATATCTTAAGATTTATTTGCCAAATTACACATTATTTATCACAAAATAGTATTTTTCACCTAATCCTAATGTAAAAAGTCATTTCTCCCTTAAATTAGAAAAGTGCATCTATTTCTGAACAATTTACCAATTTTTTTTCTTGATATAACAACCTCTCTTAAGTTCTTCTCCTAGATGTGCAGCGTATACAGTGGAATCATTTAACCTCTAACTTTATTTAGGATGGGCAGTGCCTCAGTTTTGAATTGGTGGCTGTCATTGAATATTTGATCATTTTAAATGAAATTTGTCTTCTCTTTAAAAGTTAGAAGATGCAAAAGTTCATGATCCACATTCCCAAAAAGCAGAAATCTGACCAAGCTCACCCTTTTACACACGCTCTGAAATAAATCATGTACTTAGTCCAGTTCTCTGGGGTTCTTTCTGCTGGGTTTTCCCTGACGTGGCAAAGGTAAGATTTGATCCTGAGTACAGCTGTGCCTTGAGGACTCTGATTTTATTAACTGGTTTCTGCCTTAATTATCTTAACGATATCTTACAAATTTTTCTGGTCCTTCGGTTTCTTTGTTTGTACCCCTGTAATGCCATGTATTGACCACTGAGCTCTGCTGTTGTTTACTTGGAGTGCTCTAAGGCCCTGCATTCCTGGTCTCTTGCATATGGCCTTTTTATAGACACCCCTGCTCCCCTCAACCCTCCAACATCTGCACTCTGTCTCATAATGATTTTTTAAGATTGCTTTTTATTTTGTGGCCATAGCATTATTCTGAAACTCAGCTAAACTTACAGAGGGATGAAGAAAATGGAACCTAAAGTAAGACAAGTAGGAGCACAAGGTAGTAGGGTATGAGAACAGATTGGTATGAGAACCAAGCATTTTCTGTGATTTTTAAAACTTTGAAAATAGTTTCAAACAAGGAAAAAAAGAAGGGGACTTATTGTCAACAGTAATATTGAATTATACAATAATCAGTTGGTCCTAGCAAGAGTCAGCCCAGCTTTCACATGTTGGCAGCTCCAAGAGGCAGAGAGTGTGCGGAGTACCTTGATCACTTCTTTGACATCCACCGCAGTCTGTTTATCTTCTTTTGGACACTGTTTCTCCTCCTGGCTGGAATCTTAACATCTGAGACTGACTTGTGTTTCTCAGCACTGTTATTTCCTCAGGAGGGAAGATTGGTGCCCAGGTTCAGGTTTCTATCTACTGTCTACTGTGAATTACTGTGTTGTGTACCTAGCTGGAACAAGGGATCTAACAAATTCTCTGCATCCCTGTGATATGGTTTGGCTCTGTATCCCTACCCAAGTCTCACCTTGAATTGTAAATAATCCCCACGTGTTCTGCCCTCTCTAAGGCAGGGTCAGGTGGAGATAATTGAATCATGAGGTTAGTTTCCCCTGTGTCGTTCTCATGATATTGAGTAAGTTCTCACGAGATCTGATGATTTTATAACGGGCTTCCCACTTCACTCAGTTCTCATTCTTCTGTTTCCTGCTGCCATGTGAAGGAGGATGTGCTTGCTCCCCCTTCCACCATGATTGCAAGTTTCCTGAGGTCTCCCCAGTCATGCTGAGCTGTGAGTCAACTAAACCTCTTTTCTTTCTAAGTTACCCAGTCTCAGGTATGTCCTTATAGCAGCATGAGAATGGACTAATACACCCTGGATCATGTGTTCTGGTTTAGAGTTAGAAGAGATGAGGTGCATTGACTATGGAAAATGACAGTTGAAAGATGGATGGAGTTACTGTAAAGATTTGGAATTGGGGAAATAAAAGAGGACTCTATTTTGTGTTCCTGAGGTGATGAGCATCAGTACAGAGAATTTCATTTCAAATGATCACTTTTGTAATTATACATGAAGTTTAGTATAAATATGAGTGATCAACCATGGTTTCTTATGTTCACTCACTTGAGTCTTGTTAAACGTTCCAGGTTGGCATGTTCTGGACCAGGGCCCTCTCCTGCATGCTTGTTTATAACAACACAGTTCTTAATTATAAAGAAATATTCTCCGTGCTTAAAACACTGAGAACTATTAATAAAGAGAAGTAATAACTGAAGTTATGAAAGTATTGATATTTTCACTTTAATCATCTTCTCCTTAATTCTCTTTCTATATAAGTTTTAGGACCTGCACAGATCAGGTGGGACTGAGTCTAAAATATTGAATTAGTGGCCAGTGGTGAAAAACTGATAAACTTCATACCCACCTCCCGATACCTGTCTTCTGGAAAAAACTGGAAATTGTAGGAATTTGTGGTCCACATTTTCGGACTGTTAGCATCCCCACATTAGGACAGGGCATTTGTTCTTTACATGTCCTGAACACCACAGCCCTGCACACTTCCTGCTGTCTCTCAAACTGTTCTTACATCTGACTTGCTTCACTTATGTATTGCCTGTCAAGCCCCTGTAGGCATTTAAGAGTCAACTGCTTTTAGTCATGTCAGCATTCTGTCAAAAAAGACCCAATACATTTTCCTTATACAATACAGGTATTATCTTTACTTATGCAATATAGGTATTATAGAAAACAACATCCTTAATATAATAATACCCAGAACCCCTAAACTCAGATAACCTCCTGAAAAGAGGAATCTTTACTTATGCAATAGAGGTATTACAGAAAACAACATCCTTAATATAATAATACCCAGAACATCTAAACTCAGATAACCTCCTGAAAAGAGGAATCTCCTAAAAAGAATAATACCCAGAACCTCTAAACTCAGATAACCTCCTGTAAAGAGGAATCTTTACTTATGCAATACAGGTATTACAGAAAACAACATCCTTAATATAATGATACCCAGAACCTCTAAACTCAGATAACCTCCTGAAAAGAGGAGACCAAGGCCCAGCTTTTTACAATGTATTTCTGTGCTTTAGTGATTAACACAACCACTGTGTTGACTGACCACAGGGTGCCCAGCTCCTGTCTTAGTGCTCTGGCCAATGCATGAAGGTAAATTCTGATTTTGATTTTCTTTGAAAGCAACATAGAAAACCTGAACTTTTCAAACATCTTAACAGTGAGAAATAACAAATAATTAAATACGGATGCAGCACAGAAAAAATCTAAATGTTCCTGATTACAAAGTATAGCTTACTCCTTGGAGATACCAGGCCACATCAGATTCCATATGAAGTGATAGTTACAGCTCCTGCTTTCTGAGTGCCCACCATCTGCCAGTTACTAGATTGGAGCATTATTTATTTATTTATTTTCATTAAGTCTTCACAAAAATCCTGTAAGATAAAGATATTTTCTCCCATTTGCTAACCAGTAGACACAGGTTGAGAGGCAAAGCAACAAGCAATACATCACAGAGCTCTTTAGCCAAGCAGCTGGGCTTTCGCCCCAGATCTGATTCTGGAGCAGACACTTTGGACATAGTGCTATACTGAGAAATGACTAGCTTACAACCTTCTTTTCTTTGCTGCAGGCCTAGCTCCACATGGCTCGCAGCCCCTTTAACATAGATCTCCAGCATGCCATGTTGAAATCTGGAATGAATAATATTATACTCTTCCACAAGAGGCCTGTCTTCTCAGTTGTGTTTTCCAGATTAAAATTAATTTGTCTTTATTGATCTTGAGTCTTCCAAACACATTTACAGATGAATAGCTTTGTATGTTCCTTAGAGCTCAATCTGTCTTACAGCTACACTGTTGGCCTTCACACTGTGGTAATGTCATTTATGCTGAGTTGGGTGGGAAGTTTTCCTGGAGTCCTACTTCATTCAGGCATAATGAGAAGAGAAGCAGTCAGGCTGCTGTACTGATAGGACATGGAGCCACTGTTCCATCATCTAGTAGGTTGGAATGGAGAAAAAAACAATTCCAGTAACACATACAGACCAGGTCGACTAGAGGTTCCCTGAGTCCAGAATTATGACTGAGTGTAACTTTTATGCTAAGGCTTCTCACATCCCTGCCTCTCTTTCTAGTGGTGGGTATAGTTTGGGGTCATTAAGCAGTAACATCAATAAGAAGAGGGAGAATGTGCATGGAGATGACAGCAGAACTCTGTGCTGGGAGTCCACAGGGGTATTGAGCTGATGCAGCATTAGTGACATGGGCCACAAGGTGAACAATATGATCCATCACCCAGATTTCCACTTCAGAATTAAAGAATTTACTCCCTTTGTTGTTGGGATGCTGCAATCAGAAAAACTTCAGCTGTCACCCTCCACAGAAGAATATGCCTCTGCTGAGAAGCCACCTCACGCAAGGTCATATTACATTTCTAGGGTGACCTGCATGCAATGGCTGATTTACATGGGATGTAAAATTTTGACCTTACCCTCCTAACTCAGAACAACTCTAAAGGGACATTCAGCATTATAACTTTCCATAGAGGTGGCTGAGGCCTTCATTGAAATTGCATTGATGCTCAACTTCTTTTGCCCAGTCCTAATTTTTCTCCTCTTTTCCACGGGAATTGAGCCCAATAACACTTCATAATAACTATCTTAAATACTAAACTCATCTCAGCATTTTCTTCCTGGGGAATCTGACGTGATAGCCACAAATAGCATGTAGATGAGAGGGGGCTGCTCCATCCATAGCTGTAGCTAGTCCAGAGACCCATGTGGATTGTTCTAGCAAGAAAAGTCTTTTAGCTGCAGAGTCAGAAAGGACTTGAGGACAATTCTGGATGAAATGAGTACACTGGCAGAAACTTTCTAATGTTTTCAAAAACACCATTTCTTCATTTATTTTATCTCAGTAAGTTTCCGAGGTTTTTGGAAATACATCTTAAACCTATAACTTTATTTAGAGGCCAGTGGAAACACAAGGATTTCTCTGTAGAATACAACAGCAGATTCCACCTCATACATGAAACTTTTTCTGATTAGTTAGCTGATAACTGATTTTCCTTGTCTGTAATTCTACACTTAGCCTGTACTCCATAACTGGCCACTTATCTCTAGCCTTCTGCTCTTTGTAGAGAGTAGCCTTCTACATTCTAATGTGAAGTCTTGTCTTCTTAATAAGTTTATGTATTTTTTAAGAATACCTATTTTATTTTCTAGGTGTATATTCACCATAATACATAGCTAAGACCTGGACACACAGGAGATGCGATGAATATTTTCTGACACAACTCAGATTAAACTCTCATTAATGGTTTGAACAATGGATACAGGATTCAAAGAGCTATATCATGTTGAGAGCAGAATTGGGTTATTCAGGCAGTTTGTCAAGAAATTGGTATTGGATCATTAAAAAAATTATTTCTGATTCCCCATTTGTTTCTTTCCCCTTACTTTTGCCTCAACACAAAGATAACTATTCCAGATTTTTAAACATAGCTCTGTATGTTTATGTCTCATATCTAAAACTATTTGGGGCATAATCACTCTCATCTTTGGTAATATGACTGGTAAAAAGTAGTATATTGTATTTCTTTTGTTACTGATGAAATTAAGCATTATTTACCACTTGTTTATTAATATGGTACTCTTTTCCTCTTAGTGACAGCCTGCTAATATCCAGACAATGTGCTACATATTATATATCTGTTAACTCATTTAGTAAACATAACACTGTGAGGTCTTTATTTTTATCTCTATCTTATTAAAACTGAGTACTTAGGTAATTTGACAGAGATTGCAGAACTAATGTGAGACAGACTCTATTTGTCTGTCTCACCTCTTAGGGTTCTAGGTCCCAGACCATCTGATTATTACCTGGGAAGAGTGAAATAAGGATAGAGAAACAGTCTAGAGAATTACAAAAACGGATGAAGAATTTGTGAGTAAGGTAAAGGTGCAGAGCTGAGCAGGAAGAAGGAAGGGTCTCAGGTTGAGAATATACTGAGAGTAAACTCCTGACCCTTTCTTGACTGGCCTTGTGTCTGTTTCCTCTTGCTGGGTGTGCTTTCGTCTTAGGTAGCTGATGTCAGGAGACTTTTTTCCTACTGTGCTATGATCTTGTGATATAGAGATAAAAGGTGTCATTTTTTTTTCTCTGAACAGCTGAATAACCCTCCTCAACTTATTGTTACTCAGATGGGTCATGTGAAGATAAAGTTCTCTTAGAAATAAACTTCACCATTTTCCTTCTTTTAACATGTAAGAACGCTGAGCCACAAAGAACTTGAAGTCCCAAGATTTTAGAACTGATCGATAGTAGAACTGGAGCTGGAGTCTGGAAGTCCTGACTGATGGTCCTGTCATCTTTCAGTTATCCTGTTCCCTCCTTATATACTCAGACACTATCTAGAAACTGGTTATAGGAAAGTATCTAGTTTAAAATAAAAATAACCATTGTGAATAAAAAAGATGAGAATTGGAAAAAATAACTTGGTATTTGAGCATCCAGAAGGCCTTTAGAGCTAAAGGTCTTACTTCACGGCTGAGTGGAATAAGCTTGTTAGAAGATGAAATATACCTCTTACTCAAGGTGGCAGAGATGACGGATTTAAATGGCCTTTAAAAAATATTGCTTTTCCAAACTCACAGAAAACATTTGTCAAACTGCTATTGTTCATACTCTAGTAAACTATGGCTTGTAAAAAAAAAAAGCAAATAATATGCATATTAGAAAGATTATAAATCAATGGGTATCAAATAGATTCTATGTTGTATATATTTATATTTTGGCTGCTACCCAGCATCCATTTCTATTTCCAATTGACACCCTGATTTTTCTTGAGAGTATTCAAATTTCTCTTACTCTAAGTACTACCTTTAAAACTTTTCCTCTGCAGCTCAGAGAAAAATAAATTGCAAATTGCATCACTTATCACCAAACACATACATTTATATGAAACTAAGCAAGTTTCAGCAAAAATATTACTAATGGTTATACAGTCTGATATTTATATTTCTATTCCATAGGAGTCTATTCTTTAAAAAATTATTGCTGGGAGTTCATTGTACTGATGCATGTCCCACAAATGATTTATCATTTATAGTCTGGAAAATACTCATTTAACTCATTATGGTTTGAATGTAGTTGAACTGACCTTAGGAATGGTCAAATTACCCTCAATAGAGATCTGCTGGGGGATGGGTAAATAACCCAGACAGAGCCAATAAGATAGAAGAAAAGTTTTGCTGGAACATAAGGATGTAAATTTTATAACCCCCACAGGCACTTTGCTACCACAAAGGTATAGTGCACTGTCAGAGGTCACTGGGTGGAGCCTGAGGCTGCAACTTTCACTATGGAAGCATAGCAGAGCCATGGAAATAAACAGATTCTGGGTGCTATTGTTTGAGTAACTGTATCAAGTCACTTTTTCAGTCATAATTCTAGACATTTCAGTTTTGTAAACCAATAAATTGCATATATTGTTATATAATCTCACAGAATGAAAATCTGAAATTTTAATTTGTAATTTAATCCACTACTTTCCATTTAATTACAGGAAAGATGACTTTTTTTCATGAATCTAAGTTGTGGTTGGGAATTAGTCACAGGAGTTGGGATGAGATGATCCATTTAAATTTGTTGCTTGCTTCAGTGAATTCTGTATTGAAATGCACCTTCTTGACATTGACAGCTTAAACTCTTGAGATTAAATGACCCATTCCCCGAAGGAGTGAGAGCTTTGTTTCGAGGACAGTGTTCGCATCCATTTGGAATGAAGGGGATGCTGCACTAGACATTCATTATGGACAATTCAACATTATCCATGTGCTTCTAAAGCCTAATGGAAGTAATCGAGGGAACAAAGGATATGATCTTTCTGCTCTAGGAAGGGAACTCTTCAGTGGCACGGAGGGACACAAACTCAGTGCCATGATAAGACTTGGAGAGGATTTCAGATTTGGATGGAGTGCCCTACCTAACAAGTGCCAGTGTCCTTTTAAGGTTTAGGACACCAGGAAGTTACAAAGGAGAAGGATGTGTTGCTTTGTTGGATAGATGAAGTAACTAAACCTAAATGTTATTTTGTGTTCCAAGTTTGGTGACTAATTCAAATAAAGAATTGTAAAATAATTGTGGAACATCATTTTAGAGATGATGACATTAGCTGTGTAGGCCAGTCAGAACCTTGTGAAATATTAGATGTAACACACATAGGTTTGACTGAAGTGTAGCTGAACATGCTTATTTCAGTTGGGAGGTGAAAAGTACTTTGAAATCTGAAGGTGGATTGGGAATGAAGCACTAGATCTAATACTTACTTGCTCATAATCTTTAGTTAATTTTGACTTTTAATAAATGATTGAGGTATACCTATTTACAAGGATAGTGTGTCTATCAACTTTCTAGTAGGAAAGCAGCACAGATATGGAAACCATTCTTGAAGTTAGAAGTCCTGGTTTTGCCACATGTCTTTGTGACACTTAGAGGTTCCTTAGATTGCCAACTGAGAAATGAATGTAATGCCAATCCCTGTAAAAATGGTTTGAGAAGCATTTTTATGTAGTACTACAAAGTACTATGTAAATATATGAAATTATTTATGTACATTTATAGAAAGAAACAGCTCTGGCAGCATTAAGGAAGAAGTTAAACTAATTTTTATTTGTTAAAGAGGGTCAGAATTTGAAAGGTCTCAATTTTATGAGTTTAATATTTCTGATTCTGTCTGAACATATCAGTATATGTTATAATATTTTCATCATTAGGTGACCTTGTAATTAATCTTGTCAGCCAATTACTGAAAGTGTTAGAGAGCCAAAGTCTCCTTAAAGAGTGGTTACAAGCACAGTAGGTATTTTCATCTACAATTATAGTTTGCTCAATGCTCAATCACCTCACCCTTCTCAATGCTGTGATGTTGGAAATAGAAAGAATCTTAGAGATCACTAATCCAATATCATCATTTTATAGATGAGTAAAAACTGATGTCCAGGAAAGGTAAGTGAGCTGTCTAAAGGTACAGGCTGAAAGTTTTGGGAAAGTGAGAATTAATATTTGGGATTTTTTGTTCCCAGTTTAATATGTTTTTCCCAGGGATCCATGCTGCTTCTCAAGCAAAGAACAATGCCCTGGCTATAGTGGATTTAATTATTGAGTTACTTAAACTTGAATCCATATATTATTTCTACTGTTGGAGAAGAAATAGCTAAGGAAATATGTGAAACAACCCATCTTTTATGTATGCCAGATGTTAACAACTGGTGATCCTAGTAGTAGGGGAAAGAGAAAGAGTCCCATTGAATGATTACTGATTATAAAGGGACTTCCAGTCTTGGAATAAAATTAGAGAAATTATGAAATCACTTCCTTTAAGTTTTTTTGTTGTTGTTGTTCCAAAAGGTAGTGGTGATGATTGTAATGAAAATTCTTAAAGTTATAAACTCAAGGCTCAAAACATGGAAATGTTTGAAACACATCGGTCAGACACTTTGGTCCCATCCTGCATCCTATACAGGTAGGAACCTGTCTCTCCATGACTTTGGCAGGAATCTGGAGATTTCTTTTTTTGGGGTAATTGAACCAAGAGATTCCAGGCCAGGGACAGAAGGCATAGCAGAATATACACAAGAGTTGCCATACCAAAAAGAGATGTTTATGTAAAAACACACCTACTGAATGGTGAGACCATCCAGCTCTCTTTTACCTTTTGGATTTGTGCCTCTTGACGCGTCATTGCTGGTAGATTAAGGTTTCCTCAGAAGACTTTTCCTTGGACAAACTGAATAGTTCCCAAGGAAAGACATATGGTTACTAACATTTGGAGACATCTCAACAAATTGGCAGGCTTCCACTAAACAAAATGTACCCATTCATGCAGAACTTCCAATCTGCCCATTAGTTTCTCTTAAATATGAATAAACCAAAAAATAATCATTAAACATTTGAGAGACTCCTTCAAGATAAAATACTGGAATGAAAGCAAATTAAGAGAAAGTGGAATTCAAAGAAAACAGAAACAATGCAGGGGCAGAAGACGATTTCAAAGGAGATAATACTATCAATGAAAAACAAAAGCACACCACAAAGGGAAAATAAGAGGATGCTTAAATTTTTAAAATACATTAACTATTAAAAATGTTATTAAGAAGATAAAGTCAAAGAAATGTATTAGAAAATAACCCAAAATACAAAGGGATCTACCATTGTGGGGAAAAGATAAGAAACTTAAGAAACCTGACGATGTTCAATAAAAATTTTTGGGAGTACCAGAAAAAGAAAGCAGAGTTAAAAGGGAAGAATCTAAGAAATAATTAAAGGACTTAAACACTTATTTTCAAATTCAGAAGGTTCACCATCCATACTATGCCATTTTATCATAAAATTTCATAGATTTGTCAATATCATTAATTTAGTTAATTTAACAAAAATTTATTGAGTGTCTACTATGTGCCAAGTCCTCTACTAAGTACCAGAGATAAAGTGGGAGCCCAATGAGCAGGAGCCTGTTCTCATAGATCTTCCCTTCTAGTGAGGCAGAGAGACAGGAATAAGCCATCTCACTAAATAATGTAAAACCTCCATGATTACATTTACAGCACATGGCACCAAGAAAGACTATTTTAGGGGCTTTGGTCGTGTAAGAGAGATTAGTAAAGATTCCTCTGAGGAAAAATATTTGTGTTGTGATCTGAAGGAAGAGTAGGCATTATCTAACCAAAGAGAGCAGGGTTGACTGTTTAAGGCAGAAGGCCCAATGGATACGGCAGTAACTGAAGGGAATCCAGTGTGGATGAAACAGAGAGAACAAGTGGGGAACATGAGGTGAGAAAAGGTTGGAGATCATAGGTCAGTGTGATGCTGACTGGGCAGAACTTCATATGCGTGCCATCTTAGAGTTTTGCTTTTTTTCCTATGGGTACATAATCGGAAGTCACTGAAATGTTTAAGCAGGGATGGAGAAGGAGTAAAATTTGGGTTATTGTGCTGGTCACTTTGCCTGCAGTGTGGAATATGGGTTGGAGGAGGGTTAGGGAGAGAATGTCAGCAGCGCTGTTAGGGGCTTTCATAGTCGCCATGCAAAGGATGATGGTAGCTTGGCCAAGCCTGATAATGATGAGTATGAAATGAAAGTTTTTGAGAACTACTTAGTGGATTAAATCAAAAAGACTTTGTGATCAATTATATCAAGGTTGATTCTCTGAATATTCTAAGGAAAAGCAAACTGGCTAGTCTCACCAAAGAAGCAGAGAGGAAAATATAAATTAAGAACATATAAATGTCAAAGCAAATATATCAACTTCAAACAAAAGTGTTAAAAATTTTACCAGTGAGTGCTAGGTATAATTCTATACAGTAAATATGAAAATCTAGACAAAGGGATGGTTTTCAAGGAATATTAAAATTACCATTTTCTTTCATGGCTTGTGACATCCTGGATCTGCAACCTGGAAATAAAAGAACCAGATCCTTGTGGCTCCTGTGAAGGGGAGTGGGAGGATTTAGGGGCAATTGGACAGCACTCTAATTATGGCATCTGGAAATATTCTGAGCAGCTCTACTGTGGTCCCTTTTTATCATCCCGTGGTCCATGTTTTCTCCCTGCCCTAGTGAATAACAAGCTTGGCATTCCTCTGGGGAGTCACTGGACAGACAAGCTGTCATCTTTGCAATAGCCTCTCCTGCATATATTTCTTACATATTTTTCTGATATTTCAGCAGGACTGCAGGAAAAGAGAAAATAATATGTATATTTTTATTCTATTAAATCAGAAGCAGTAGTAGGTATTTTTCTGAATGTATCTTTGCAGTTAATATTCATTATTGTAATAATTTTTGAAAGTTAATATGATAATCTTTGAATTAAATTCAAAGAAAAATATTTTTCTTACACTTATCTCCCCTTTGTTTTAATATTCTTATTTATTGAAGTTTATTCAGACATAAGGAACATCACCATTATTTATTGGTACACATGTTATGTTTGTGTATAATATGGAATCATACTTGTGGAATTAGGAATATAATCTAATGAATTTAAGAGAAAGCAGTCTAGACATAAATTTCTGAATGCCAAGGAAATTTTTATGCCTTAGAGCTTTTGGTTTCTCTATTTTAAAAGATCTGGCAGAAATGAACTCCAACTGAAGCAGGATGGATAATTAGATTCTGCTTCATGCAACTTCAAGGCATTTAGAGTCAAAAAACTATAGTAATAACCAAAGAGCAAGTTACATTTTTCACGAGTTACAAATTATGCAGTTGTACAAACCAATGCTCTTGTGTGCTGACTTGTCATTAAAAGATTAACAGCATCATACTATGAAAAAATGGTTTGATTGAATGATTTTGAACAGCTATACTTAAAATCCTATGGCCTGTTTTCATAAATGGTGGCTTGGCTTAGGACATAAAACCAGGGATCAGGCTAAATATGTTACTTTACATGAATTTTGCAGATGTGATGAAGGTGATGGATCTTGAGATGGGGAAATTAGCCTAGATTATCCAAGTGAACCCAGTCTAATCACTTGAGTTTGTAAAAGCAGAGAACCTTTCATGGATGGAAACAACTATGGGAAAAACAGCACAAGTAGCTAGTTTTGAACCCAAAGTAGCTAGTTTTGAAGATGGAAGAGGGGCCCATGAGTCAAGGGATGCAGGCCGCCTCTAGAAGCTGGGAAAGGCAAATAAATTGATTCTTCCCTAAAGCCTTCAGAAATGAATGCAGCCCTGCCCACACCTTGATCTGACACCATTGAGACCAGAACCAAACTTAGGACCTACAGAACTGTAAGATAATACATTTCGTTGTTTAGGCCACAAGTGTGTGGTGATTTGTGACAGCAGCAATAGATAACTGGTACAGATGAATTGTGGGAAAAAACCCTAGGATGGAGGGTCTCAGGAAGCAGACACCAGTTAATACCACTTCACCCTTCCAAACTTCTCCTTTGGAAAAAGGAGGCTTTACTCTCAGCTCCCCAGGAAAAGACAGAAATGGGAGGAGGCTCTCTGTCTACATAACTATAACTCTCCACTAGGGATGGCTACTTAATTTCTGGGACCCTGTGCAAGAGAAAAATTCTAAGCCCTTTATTCAAAAAGCAGAAAAATACCATTAAAGATACTAAAATATAATGCTTTTTCTTTTCTTCCATTGTCTCTCAACTGGAAGTGTCTTTTTTCTCCTTAGTGTTGTTCCAAGTAGAGAAAAATTACAAATGTAAATTTTTAGCATGAATTTTACTGTTCTTTACTGGCAATGCCACTTTTAAATACTAATATAGGTTGGGCACGGTGGCTCACACCTGTAATCCCAGAATTTTGGGAGGCCGAGGCAGGCGGATCATTTGAGGTAAGGAGTTTGAGACCAGCCTGGCCAACATGGTGAAACCCCGTCTCTACTAAAAATACAAAAATTAGCTGGGTGTGGTGGTGGGTGCCTGTAATCCCAGCTACTCAGGAGGTTGTGGCAGGAGAACCGCTTGGACCCAGGAGGCAGAGGTTGCGGTGAGCCGAGATTGCGCCACTGCACTCCAGCCTGGGCCATAGAGCGAGACTTCATCTCAAAAAAACCCAAAAAAAAAAAAACAACAACAAAAACAACATAAGGGCATTTAAGTTGCATAAAATTATATACTTAGTATTTTATAGCTCTTGTATGTGTATGCATTTAGTTTTTACCAGAACTGGAAATGGTATGCAGAACTAATTGATTGTTATTTATCTATTTATTTATTTATTTCAATCATTTTTTTGGAAAACAGGTGGTGTGCTTCTCCCTTCTTTCTCCCAGTTTGTTATTATCTGAAATTTTATTATTATTATTTTTTATTTCAACAGGTTTTTGGGGAGCAGGTGGTGTTTTGTTGCATGGATAAGTTCTTTAGTGGTGATTTCTGAGATTTTAGTGCAGCCAGTACCTGAGCGGTGTACACTAAATCCAATGTGTAGTCTTTTATCCCTCACCCCTTCTCCCACCCTTCCCCACTGGGTCCCCAAATTCTATTGTATCATTCTTATGCCTTTGCATCCTCATAGCTTAGCTCCCACTTATAAGTGAGAACATACAATGTTTGGTGTTTCCATTCCTGAGTTATTTCATTTAGAATAGTGTTTTCCAGTTCCTTCCAGGTTGCTGCAAATGCTTTTACTTCATTCCTTTTTATGGCTAAGTAGTATTCCATAGTATATATACACCAGGTTTTCTTTATCTACTCATTGATTGATGGGCATTTGAGCTAGTTCCATATTTTTGCAATTGCGAATTGTGCTGCTATAAACATGAGTGTGCAAGTGTGCAAGTGAAAAAATAATGACTATTCTTTCCTCTGGGTACATACCCAGGAGTGGGATTGCTGGATCAAATGGTAGATCTACTTTTAGTTCCCTAAGGAATCTTTTCTTAAAGATTCCATAGTTTTCCATAGTGATTGTACTACTCCTACCAGCAGCATAAAAGTGTTCCCTTTTCAGGACATCCATGCCAACATCTAATTTTTTTTATTTTTAAATTATGACCGTACTTGCGTGAGAAAGGTGGTATTGCAATGCAATTTGCATTTCCCTGATAATTTGTGATGTTGAGCATTTTTTCGTATGTTTGTTGGCCATTTGTAGAATTGTCTATTCATGTCCTTAGCCCACTTTTTGCTGGTATTGTTTCTTTCTTGTAAATTTGTTTGAGTTCTTTGTAGATTCTGGATATTAGTCCTTTGTCAGATGCTTAGATTGTGAAGAGTTTCTCCCACAGAGTGGGTTGCCTGTTTATATTATTATAATATAATGATATAATATGCTGATTATTTCTTGTGCTGTGCAGAAACTTTTTAGTTTAATTAAGTACCATCTATTTGTCTTTGTTTCTTTTTTGTGTATGTTTGTTTTTGGATTCTTGGTCATGAAGTCTTTGCCTAAGCCAATGTCTAGGAAGGTTTTTCTGATGTTATCTTCTAGATTTTTTATGGTTTCATGTCTTAGATTTAAGTCTTTGATCCATCTTGAGTTGATTTTTGTATAAGGTGAGAGATGAGCGTCCAGTTTCCTTTTCCTACATGTGGTTTGCCAATTGTTCCAGCACCATTTGTTGAAAGGAGTGCCCTTTCCCCACTTTCTGTTTTTGTTTGCTTTGTCAAAGATCAGTTGACTGTAAGTATTTGGGTTTATTTCTGGGTTTTCTATTCTGTTCTATTGGTCTATGTGCCTATTTTATACCAGTACTATGCTGGCATAAATGGTATAGATTTGGTTAGCTAGTATTTTATTGAGGATTTTTGCATCTATGTTTGTCAGGCATATTGGTCTTTGGTTTTCTTTTTTTGTTATGTCCTTTCCTGGTTTTGTTATTAGGGTGACACTGGCTTCATAGAATGATTTAGGGAAGATTCCCTCTTTCTCTATCTTTTTTATCAATAGGATTTGTACCAATTCTTCCTTGAATGCCTGATAGAACTCAGCTGTGAATCTGTGTAGTCCTGGACTTTTTCTTTTGTGGGTAACTTTTTAATTACCATTTCAATCTTGCTGCTTGTTATTGTTCTGTTCAGAGTTTCTATTTCTTCCTGGTTTAATGCAGGAGGCTTGTATATTTTTAGGCTTTATCCACCTCCTCTAGGTTTTCTAGTTTATCCACATAAAGGTGTTCATAAGTAGCCTTGAGTGATCTTTTGTATTTCTGTGGTATGAGTTGTATATTAGTATCTCCCATTTTGTTTCTAATTGAGCTTATTTGGATCTTCTTTCTTCTTTTCTTGGTTAATCTCTAATTGTCTATCAATTTTGCTTATCTTTTCAAAGAACCAGGTTTTTGTTTAATTTATCTTTTGTATTGTTTTATTTTTTTGTTTCAATTTCACTTAGTTCTGCTCTGATCTTGGTTATTTCTTTTCTCCTGCTGGGTTTGAATTTGGTTTGCTCTTGTTTCTCTAGCTCCTTGAGGTATGACCTTAGATTCTGTATTTGTGCTCTTTCCAACTTTTTTTTTGTGTGTAGACATTTAATGTTATGAACTTTTCTCTTATCACCGCCTTTGGTGTATTCCAGAGGTTTTGATAGGTTATGTTACTATTATCATTCAGTTCAAATATTTTTTATTTTTTGTTTTTATTATTTTTTTTTTTGAGACAGAGTCTAGCTCTGTCACCGAGGCTGGAGTGCAGTAGCACGATCTCGGCTCACTGCAATCTCCACCTCCCAGGTTCAAGCGATTCTCCTGCCTCAGCCTCCTGAATAGCTGGGACCACAGGCGCCTGCCACTACGCCCGGCTAATTTGTTGTATTTTTAGTAGAGACGGGGTTTCACCGTGTTAGCCAGGATGGTCTCGGTCTCCTGACCTCGTGATCCACCCGCCTCAGCCTCCCAAAGTGCTGGGATTACAGGTGTGAGCCACCACGCCCGGCCAAGTTCAAAGAATTTTTAAATTTTCATCTTGATTTTGTTGTTGACCCAATGATCATTCAGAAGCAGGTTGTTTAATTTCCATGTATTTGCATGGTTTTGAGGGTTCCTTTTGGGGTTGATTTCCAATTTTACTCCACTGTGGAGAGCACTTGCTATAATTGTACTTCACTGAGAGAGTACTTGCTATAATTTCAGTTTTCTTAAATTTGTTGAGACTTGTTTTGTGCCCTATCATATGGTCTGTCTTGGAGAATGTTTCATGTGTTGATGAATAGAATGTATATTCTTCAGTTGTTGGGTAGAATGTTCTGTAAATATCCGTTAAGTCCATTTCTTCTAGGGTATAGTTTAAGTCAATTGTTTCTTTGTTGACTTTCTGTCTTAATAACCTGTCTAGTGCTTTCAGTGGAGTATTGAAGTCCCCCAATATTATTGTGTTGCTGTCTATCTTATTCTTAGGTCTAGTAGTAATTGTTTTATAAATTTGGGAGCTTCAGTGTTAGGTGCGTATATATTTAGGATTGTGATATTTTCCTGTTGGACTAGTCCTTTTTATGATTTTACAATGTCTCTCCTTGTCTTTTTTAACTGCTGTTGCCTTAAAGTTTGTTTTGTCTGATGTAAGAATAGCTACTCATGCTTGCTTTTGATGTCCATTTGCATGGAATATCTTTTTCCACTCCTTTACCTTAAATTTATGCAAGTCATTATGTGTCAGGTGTCTCTTGAAGACAGCAGTTACTTGGTTGGTGAATTCTCATCCATTCTGCCACTCTGTATCTTTTAAGTGGAGCATTTAGTCCATTTATATTCAATGTTAATATGTCTCATTTTGGAGTTTGTGGTCCTCAGTCATCTCATGGCACCACTTTCCACACTTTCGTTTCTTATTTCTTTTTTCCTGGAACAACAAATGCTTCTTTCTGTTTCAGGCAGAAAATTTCTGGGTGCATCAGGGTCTAAGCTCCTATCCCCAAAGGACCACCCAAGGAGTTTCTTTTAAAAGAATACCATCCTTCTCCTGAAAGGAATACTAGAGAAAGATGTTTCTTCTCCAATTTATTGCACAAATTTATTTTATAGCTTCCAAGTAGCTTAGCTCAGGCTTGGAGCATGAACCACTTAATGTTTTTTCCAAGTGCTCCCTGCTTCCACTCCATACTGGATGACGCTCCTTACCCTATGACTCTGTAGAGGAAATGTTCTGTCTGTATTGTTCATCTGCAACTGCTAAGATAAGTGTTATAGTCTCAATATTTGTGTTCCCCCCAAATTCCTTTGTTGTAAACCTAACTCCCAAGGTATTAGGAGATGGGATCTTTTGGAGTGATTAGGTCATGAGGGCAGGCTCCTTATGATTGGGATTAGCACCCTTTAGAAGACACCCCAGAGAGCTACCTTGTCCCTAGTTATCTCCTAGACTCCACTCTATCCACCTCTTCTCTTTGCTGATTCTAATCTGCATCCTTTTGCTGTAATAAACTGTACAATGGGCATAAAAGCTTTTTGGGAGCTTGTGAGTCCTACTGTTAATCATCAAACCTGAAAATGATATTGGGGCTCCCTGACACTATTGGTGATTGCTGCATAACAGGAAGGATGAAACAGAAAAAAGGCTGTCACTTTCCCAATAAGAATACTTCCTGAAAGTTGAACACAATACTTCTATTTATATATTGTTGACTAAAATCTAATTATTAAACCATATTAGCCATAATCTTATAGCTTGGCAGCAGCATGCTCATCCAAAAATTAAATTCTTGTCACTAAAGAAAGAGGGGAAAGTTGATGGATATTAAGAACCAACTGGTAGTCCCTTTCACAAGGAAGACTGTATGTGATTTATGAGGAAAATACCCTCTTAATCTATTTGATTTTTAAAAAGTTCCTAAACATGTTTTTTTCTACTTAACATAACATAGCTTTAACTTAAAAGTTACACAAATGAATTTGTTTATTATTATCAAAACATTTCTTCATTGAAAACTTGATGTTTTAACATGGATTTCTCCGTTTTCCTTATTTATTTTCTTATTTAATATATGCATGAGGTAAGCTTTGCCCAGGCCTCAGTGCTAAATTAATGAGGCACTGCTAATGGAGGTAACTTTACTTGATGAAGATGAAGTATTTGCCAGGAATTTAGCTGTTCCTTAGGACAAAAATAAAATCTTAGTTTTGTGCTCATCATCTATCTATTTATCATCTCTCCATTAATCAATCATTTATTTTTCTGTGTATTAATTAATGAGCTGACTTTATGGCTACATTCCTCACCGATTCAGGATTGTTTTTAAAAATGTTCCTCAGAGCACATAGATTCTTTCCCCGACCTTGATGTAGGTCCTGTGGTGCCTACACTTTGTGCTGTCTATTTAGCACCCTGGATACGTTCTCTTTCCCCTCCTCTCATCTCTTTCCATCTATTTCCCTGTTTCCCTTTGTTTCCCATCACTGCTCTACTAGACAGCTTGGTCAAGATATTGAGCCGTCTGAGGGAAATTACCTCACCTGAAGCCCCGGCCAGGGGAGGAAGTTTAAGTCACTCCAGAGATGGGGTGACTATGGTCTATACCACATGACTCCCCTGTTCCTTACTGACAGCTAACTGTACCAGGGTGGGCACCTGAGCAATGTGTAGGCTTACCCATGACATGATTTGACAAGTGAAAATTCTGCTCCCAGAAAGGATTAGCTGGGAAATTTAGACTCTTTCTCTTATGAATTTCAACTGGAAATAAGGGCCAAGAGATTAGGCAATAGAAGCAGAAGTTGATAAAGACATTCAGAAAAGTGGTGGGACAGGAAGCCATGAGGAAATAAGCTAACAGTAATGGGTGCTGTTGTTTTCAGTTTGTGAAAGGAGAACAGAGAAAGATAAGAGCTCGATACCATGCAGGCAGAGAAGCAACAGTCTCCTGCCTCACAGTAGGTAATAAGAAAACCTATTGAATCTCCAGAGTTCTGCCTGAGCCTCCACTCTCCCAATTGTGTTTTAGTTTCTGTGACATCTTATGCTCTGGGATTCCCATGAGATTTCTGTGGTCCTCATGTGAAAATTGATCTTAACAATAAACCTCCCATTACTTGAGGTAATCCTGCGTGAACCCAACTCATACAGCTGCAATCAGTTTTGCTACTTTAGATTAATTCTCTCTCCTTTACCCACAAACGACTAGCTATTCCTAATTCTGAACTTTAATCCTCTCTTCCTTCAGTTAATCAAAATCTAATTCTCACACACTATAGTTCTTCACAATTCTATTCTTGGGAGAGTTCCCTTTACTCTCAGCACTGGCATGAACTCTTTTACTCTTTTTACAGTATATCTCCGCAGGGACTCAAAACTTATGTTTATGTGCTAAAGCAAACCCTCACTGGCTGCCATTAAACATTTAAACCATCCCTCACTTTCCCTCACCCACTCTGCCTCACAATTTTTGTTGTAAGACATGCTACCCAAAGTGGAGAGTATTCCCCATACTTCATATCTCCTGAGGAGGGGGAATGGTTCTCTCTCTCTCTTTCTTTCCCTCTCTCTCTGTCTTTTTCTTACAAACCAATAAATTTATATAACCTCTACAAAGCTACAGCTGTCTTGAGATTTATAAATAAGAACTTGGAATTTGGGAACTTGGGAATTGCTGGTGTGACTCATTGTACTAAATGATATGCAGAACACGTTAACAAAATGTGTGTCAAGGGATTTACATTTTCATTTTAAAAAATCTTACTGATGTCATTGTCCCTAAGCCAATGGTTTTCAAAAATTCTTAAACAGTTAAACCATTTTTTTCCAAATGTGGAATCCCAACACAGAGTGTAGCTGCTTTGTTGAGAACAGAAATGGAAAGCTCAAAGACTGTCTGTCTCAGTACCTTATCCAGCCAAATCGCTGCTGGTGGAAACTTGAGGCACCTTCTTGTAACCTCACAGCTCGTTGGAGTACAGTTTGAAAACCACTCCTCTGAGTTTTGAGACAAAGCCTGAGTGACAGAAGTGAAGAGTTGACTGCTATCTAGGATCAAATGTTCATAGCCTTGAGAGGCACTGAGTGATACTCTCACAGTCTCAAAGGGGAAAGGACTCCCCCCTACTCACCTTCTACTTTCTATAATTTTTTGTATCTATAAGACTCCATTATTTTGTATATCTGAGAAGACCATTCTGACAGCTTTATGGATGGTCCCAAATGACCTTTCATTTGTTTCTTGAGGGAGTGTAGTAACTTGTTCTGAACCTTATCTGTGCCTTCCCCTATTTGTTCAATCTCTCCCACACCCCCATGCCATCAGAGCTGGGATATGTGCCCCATGAGCAGTGGCACCAAGTTCCTGGTTTCTGTGATGTCAGACACAAGAGGTGGGGGACCAAAGACAGTGAGAAGAGGAGCCTCGTTTGGTGTCTAACCTCTACAGATTCTCTAGATTTCAGTAAGCAGTCACTGAATCTCTGACTTACATGAAAAAAGGCACGTGGATTAGTGCAAGTGGGAGATGCTCTGGCAGCCCCCATGTCTGAGGAATTGCCATAGTATTTAGCTGGGCAAGTTATATTGGCCAGATCAAGTGCTTCCTCATCACAGGACTGCATTTTGGGATCTTATCTGTCTTGGTATGATGCCCTCCTTTTCTTTACGGCTCACATAGGCTTTCCCCTCCTTTTTTAATTTTTAATTTTTTTTTTATTTAGGCATAATAGAAATACCTCTTACTCAATGTAATTCAGTGACATGTAGAGTTCTATACCAGGGTACAACTTCAAGATCCCATTACAACTTTTACTTCCCAGTCATCTCCTGCTCTGTATTCATGGGAGGTGGCAATAGCAATGCCAGTTACTTGGGGAAGTTGGTGGACAGTCCTCTGACTATGAGCCTCAGTGTGTGAATTCTCCCTTCATGGGTGACTCAGGAGAACAAACAGGAATCATCTGTGTGACAGCTTGAATGTCCAGGAGGTATTAGGGGACATATCACAGGATAAGGTTACATAGGGCAGTGGCCTCCAACCTTTACAACACCAGGGACTGGTGTCATGGAAGACAATTTTTCCATGAACGGGGCTGCGGGGTGGGGGAGGGGATGGTTTCAGGATGAAACTCCTCCACCTGAGATCATCAGGCATTAGTTAGATTCTAATAAGGAGTGTGCAGCCTGGATCCCTCTCATGTGCAGTTCACAATAGGGTTCATACTCCTATGAGAATCTAATGCGACCACTGATTTGAACATCTGTGGCCTGGGGGTTTGGAACCCCTGATATAGGGAATGTTAATCTTGTCAAAAGGGAGACTGGGCGATATTGTGGAGTTACATAGTTTAATGTGGAAGCAGAATAAAGTTGTATAAGGATTCAATTAGAATATATACATATATATATATAAATATACATACATATATATCTATCTCATTTAGCACAATTGGCTTATGGTCATCCCTTAATAAATGGTGGTAATTGTGATTATCATTAATTTTTTTTTAGTTTAATATCAACCTGTGTCTGATTGAGTTGACTATACATTAACAATGTAATTTTTTTTGTTTTTTAGATGGAGTCTCACTCTGTTGCCCAGGCTGGAGTGCAGTGGCTCAATCTCGGCTCAAGGCAACCTCAAGCAATTCTCTTGCCTCAGCCTCCCAAGTAGCTGGGACTACAGGCGTCCACCACCATGCCCAGCTAATTTTTGTACCTTTAGTAAAGACGGGGTTTTACCATGTTGGCCAGGCTGGTCTCGAACTCCTGACCTCAAGTGATCCACCCGCCTCGGCCTCCCAAAGTTTTAGGATTACAGATGTGAGCCACCGTGCCAGGCCTAACAATGTGAGATTAAATTCTCATGAGGACTAGTTAATTTTGTCTTTCTAAGGCTGCACCACTGGCATAGTGTTTCTGGTTCATATTGTTCAGCCTTATATCATTACAAGTTTTCCAAAAATTTGTGGAATGACTGAATGAGTTCCTGACCTTGGCATATTGTTTCCCAGCTGTGTATTCTGTCACATCAGTGAATCATGTACATCTATCATCGTGAATGGAAAAGGAAAACAGAACAGCTTACTCTAGCTAGCCTCATTTTAACTCAATTTTGGATTTTGCTTATGCCCCAAGTTTTAATGGCAGTTTTCATTTTTAGGCTCTGTGCTTGTAGAGGGACTTCAACATTGTTACAGGAAGCATCAAAAGGAGGGTTACAGGTGTTTTCAGCCTGTGTTTATTAAGCATTACCAGCCACTTGAGGATGGCTCTTCACGAATGCAAAGTTTTTGGAACATAGAAGTTGCACATCATGTGTAAAGTGTTGGCGCCTTTGCCTGCACTTTCTTTGCTTTTTAACAATTTGGAACCAGTAGCTTAGAACACAGTGGCTGTTAAAGCTGGGTTTACACTTCAATGAAAGGGGAAGATTTATCAGAAGATAAACTTTTATAGTTGCTGTTCATGGTGTGGTTGGGAAAAGAATAATTAAAATCTACAGCATATTCTTTTTTCTCAGTCTATTTTCTTTTAACCCAAGGCCACCTAAATGCCCAACTAAATCAGTCAGCCATGGAGGCAAAATGTTTTCTTCGTGCATCTCAGATATTCTTGCACTTTCGTGGGAAAGTTACAGAATATTTCCACAGAACATCTGCCTATTCTTGATGCTGGTGTTTATCAGGGCCCCATTGCTTGTGTTTGAATGGAAGCAGTGGGCCTTTACAGGAGTAGAAAGCAACCGGAAAAACCACATCCTGTTGAGTTTTGCCTTGTGGTTATGAGGATAAAGGAAGAGACAGACATATTAGCAGCTTTTCAAACCACACAAGGAGAGGAGACCAATTCCTTTCTTTAGTTATTTTAAATGCAGATATTCCTGATATATTTATGTTGCTTTAATTTTCTGTGGACTTTCAATTTTGTAATGTTGGCCAGCTTTATATTTGGCATCAAGTAATCGATTCAAAATAACATAAGTTATAAGTACACCCTCTCTTAAAAATTATAAAGCTGAGTTCTGCAAATACTTGTAGAAGATGTTAAAGAATAGCTTAATATATTGACATATACAAGTTCTGGTCATGAAACATTAACTCTCCTTATGTATAAACTTAGTGAAGGAAACTTAAATTAGTACCTTAGAAACATTAGAAATATAATTCTTTAAAATAAGTTATAAATTTAAAAAATTCCTTTTTAAAAATGAAATTATAATGATTTGACAATAGAGACTGGAAGAATGGTGCAGAGATGCTAATTTTCATGCTGCCACTAACCTTGTTAGCCAAATCAATTAGGCTTTATTTATGATCACAAAAGGTTTATGTGGAGTGAAATAATATTTTTCATGGTTCTGTATCCTGCCCCTTAACTCCAATATACATGTAATTCACTCTTGAACAACAGAAGTTTGAACTATGTGGGTCCAAATATAGGCAGATATTCTTCTACCTTTGCCACTCCTGAGATAGCAACATTAACCTTTCATCTTCCTTTCTCTGTAGACTATTTAATGTAAAGATGATGAGGATAAACACCTACATAATGATCCATTTCTACTTAATGATTAGTAAATATATTTCCTTTCTTATAATTTTCTTAACATTTTCTTTATGAAAGCTCTCTAGTCTCAGAATTATAAATTTTTCCTTGTCTAGAGAAGTGATAAGTTCTCTATCACTTATAAATAATAGGTATTATTTGAAATACAATACCTATATTACCTATAATAGGTATTATTTAAAATATAATACCCATATTACCTATAATAGGTATTATTTACAAGTGATAAGTTTATTTATTTATATTTTTATTTTAGGCTCACAGGGTACATGCACAGGTTTGTTACATGGGTAAATTGCATTTCACTGGGGTTTGATATATAAATTATTTCATACCCAAGTAATGAGAATAGTAACCCAAAAGCTTTTTTATTCTCACCCTCCTTACACCCTCCACTCTCGAGTAGATACCAGTGTATCTTGTTCCCTTCTATTTGTCCATGTGTAATCAGTAATTAGCTCCCACTTATAAGTGAGAACATTCAGTATTTGGTTTTCTGTTCCTCTATTAATTTGCTTGGGATAATAGCCTCCAGTTGTATCCATGTTGCTGCAGAGGACATGGTTTTGTTCTTTTTTTATGGATGTATGTATTCCGTAGTGTGTATGTACCACATTCTCTTTATCCAGTCCACTGTTGATAGGCATCTAAATTGATTCCATGTCTTTGCTATTGTGAATAGTGCTGCAATGAAAATATGTGTGCATGTGTCTTTATGGTAGAACAATTAATATTTCTTTAGGTATATATTCAGTAATGGGATTGCTGGGTTGAATGGTAATTCAACTCTTAGTTCTTTGAGGAATTTCCAAACTGCTTTTCACAGTGTGTGAACTAATTTATATTCCCACCAGCAGTAATTAAGTGTTCCCTTTCTCCTCAGCCTCACCAGCATCTGTTCTTTTTTGAATTTTTAAAAATGGCCATTCTAACTTGTATGAAATGGTACCTCATTGTGGTTTTGATTTGCATTCCTGTACTGATTAGTGATATTGAATATTCTTTTATATATTTATTGGCCATGTGTATGTCTTCTTTTGAGAAATGTCTGTTCATGTCTTTTGCCCATTTTTAAAAGTGGTTGTTTGGTTTTTGCTCGTAAGTTTGTTTAAGTTCCTTGTAGATTCTTGATATTAGACTTTTGCTGGATGCATAGCATGAAAATATTTTCTCCCACTCTTTAGGTTTTTTGTTTACTCTGTTGATAGTTTCTTTTGCTGTGCAGACAATCTTTAGTTTAATTAGGTCCTGCTTGTCAATTTTTGTTTTTGTTACAATTGCTTTTGGCATCTGTCATGAAATCTTTGCCAGGGCCTGTGTTTAGATTGGTATTTTCTAGGTTTTCTTCTAGAGTTTTTATAGTTTTAGGTTTGCATTTAAGTCTTTAATCTATCTTGAGTTTATTTTTGTATATGATAAAATGTAAGGGTCTAGTTTCAGTCTTCTGCATATGGCTAGCCAGTTATCCCAGCACCATTTATTGAATAGGGAATACTTTTCCCATTGCCTATTTTTGTTGACTTTGTTGAAGATCAGATGGCTGTGGGTGTGTGGCATTATTTCTGCATTCTCTGTTCTTTTCTACTAGTCTATGTGTCTGTTTTTGTACAAGTACCATGCTGTTATGGTTACTGTAGCCTTGCAGTAGAGTTTAAAGTTGGGTAGTGTGATGCCTCCAGCTTTGTCATTTTTGCTTAGACTTGCTTTGGCTATTTGGGCTAATTTTTGGCTCTATATGAGTTTTAGAAATCTGTGAAAAATGACATTGGTAGCTTGATAGAAATGGTGTTGAATCTGTAAATTGCTTTGGGCAGTATGGCCATTCGTACAATATTGATTTTTCCTATGCATGTTGTAGAACGTTTTTCCATTTGTTTGTGTCTTTTCTGATTTCTTTCGGTGACATTTTATAGCTATCGTTATAGAGATCTTTCACTTTCCTTGTTAGCTGTATTTTTAGGTATTTTCTTCTTTTTGTGCCTATTGTGAATGGGATTACATTCTTGATTTGGCTCTCAGCTTGGATGTTATTGGTGTATAGAAATGCTACTTATTTTTGTACAACGATTTCTGTATCCTACAAACTTTGCTGAAGCTGTTTATTAAATGTAGGAGATTTTGGGCACAGACAGGAGGTTTTCTAGGTGTAGAGTCATATCACATTTTCAGTGAAGAGATATTATTTGACTTTGTGTCTTCATATTTCAATGCCTTTTCTTTCTTCCTCTTGCCTGATTGCTCTGGCTAAGACATCTAGTACTATGTTGAATAGGAGTGGTGAGAGTGGGTATCCTTGTCTTGTTCTGATTCTCAAGAGTAATTTTTCCAGTTTTTGCCTGTTCAGTATTGGCTGTGGTTTGTGATAGGTGGCTCTTATTATTTTGATGTATGTTCCTTTGATGTGTAGTTTATTGAGGTTTATATTTTTTAACATAAAGGAGTATTGAATTTTATCAACAGCCTTTTCTGAGTGTATTGAGGTGATTATATGGGTTTTTTGTTTGTTTGTTTTCTTTATGTGATGAATCACAATTAATGATTTGTATATGTTGAACTGACCTTGGATCCCAGGAATAAAGCTGACTTGATTGTGGTAGAGTAGCTATTTGATGTGCTGCTGGATTGAATTTGCTTGTATTTTGTTGAGGATTTTGCATCTACGTTTCATCAGGGATATTGGCCTGAAGTTTTCTATTTTTTTGTGTGTGTCTCTGCCAGGTTTTGATATCAGAATGATGCTAGCCTCCTACAGTGAGTTGTGGAGGAGTCCTTCATCCTCAATTTTTTGGAATATTTTTTGTAAATTGTTACCAGTTCTTTATACAGCTGGTAGAATTCAGCTGTGTATTTGTCTGGTCCCTGGTTGGGTAGGATTTTTTAATACTGATTAATGTTCAAAACTCATTTGGCCTGTTTAGGGTTTCAATTTCTTGCTGGTTGAATCTTGGGAGGTTGTATGTTTCTAGCAATTTATCCATTTCTTATAGGTTTTCTAGTTTCTGTGCATAGAGGTGTTTGTAATAGTCTCTGAAGTTTTCTTTTTTTGTTATTCTGTGGGGTTGGTGATAATGTCCCCTTTGCCATTTCTGATTGTGTTTATTTGGATCTTCTCTCTTTTTTTCTTTATTCATCTAAGTAGTTGTCTATTAATCCTATTTTTTCTTTCCAAGAATCAACTTTTGGTTTGTTGCTCTTTTGTGTGGATTTTCACATCTCAGTTTCTTTCAGTTCAGCTCTATTTTGATTGTTGCTTTTCTCCTGCTAGCTTTGGGGTTGGTTTGCTCTTGCTTTTCTGGTTCCTCTAGATGTGATGTTAGGTTTTTAGAGATATTTCTTTCTGATGTGGGCATATCGAGCTATAAACTTTCCTCTTAACACTGTTTTAGCTGTGTCCCAGAGATTCTGGTATGCTGTATCTTTGTTTTCATTAGTCTTAAAGAATTTCTTGATTTCTGCCTTAATTTCATTGTTTACCTAAAAGTCATTCAGGAGCAGATTATTTAATTTCTACATAGTTGTATGATTTTGAGAGATCTTGGTATTGATTTCTGTTTTTATTGCACTAAGATCTGAGAGTGTGGTTGGTATGATTTTGGTTTTTTAAAATTTGTTGAGAATTGCTTTACATCCAAACATATGGTTAATTTTAGAGTAAATGCCATGTGCAGATGAGAAGAATGTCAATTCTGTTGTACTTACATGGAGTCTTCTCTAGATGTCTCTTGGGTCCATTTGGCCAAGTGTTGAGTTTAGGTCTCAAATATCTTTATTAGTTTTCTGCCTTGATAATCTGTTTAATACTGTCAATAGGGTGTTGAAGTCTCCCACTATCACTGTGTGGTTATCTAAGTCTCTTTGAAGTTGTTTTTTCTGGGTACCGTTGTGTTGAGTGCATATATATTTAGGATAGTTAAGTCTTCTTGTTGTATTGAACCCTTTATCATTATGTAATTTCCTTCTTGGTCCTTTTTGATAGTTGGTTATTTAAAGTCTGTTTTGTTTGGAATGAGAAGAATAAACCCTGCTCTTTTTTGTTTTCCATTTGCATTATAGAGTTTTCTGCATCCACTTACTTTGAGCTTTTGGGTGTCATTGCATATGCGATGGGTCTCTTGAAAACACCATACAATTGAGTCTTGCTTCTTTATCCAACTTGCCACTCTGTGCCTTTTAAGTGGGGCATGTAGCCCACTTACATTCAAGGAATATTAATATGTACACATTTTATCCTATCACTGTGAAATTAGCTAACTCTTATGTAGACTTGATTGTGTGTGTAGTTCTTTATGGTGTCAATGACCTATGTACTCAAGTGGTGGTTTTTTTTTCTTTTTTCCCTTTTTTTTTTTTTTTTGGTGGCCAGTAATGGTCTTTTGTTTCCATATTTCACACTCCCTTAAGGGCATCTTGTAAGACACGTCTGGTGATAACGAATTCTCTTAGCATTTACTTGTCCAAAAATAATTTTATTTCACCTTTGCTTATGAAGCTTAATTCGGCTGGATATGAAATTCTTGGTGGAAATTATTTTTCTTTAAGGATGCTGAATATAGGCCCCCAATCTCTTCTGGCTTGTAAGGGTTTCTGCTCAAAGCACTCTGCTCTTAGTTGATGGGTTCCCTTTATAGGTGACATGCCCCTTCTCTCTAGCTGCTTTATTTCACAATGACCTTAGAGAATGTGATTACTATGTGTGTCTTGGAGATGGTCATCTTATGTAGTATCTTGTAGGGGTTCTCTGAATTTCCTGAATTTGAATCTCGAACTCTTTAGTGAGGTTGGGCAATTTTGAGGGACAATATTCTCAAATATGTTTTTCAAATTGCTTGGTCTCTCCCTGTCTTTCAAGGATGGCAGTGAGTCATACATTTGGTCTGTTTGCATAACCCATATTTCTTAGAGTTCTTGTTCATTCTTTTTGATTTTTTTATTTTTATCTGACAGAGTTGATTTGAATTGGTTTTCAAGCTCTGAGATGTTTTCCTCAGCTTGGTCTATTCTGCTCTTAATATTTCCAATTATATTATGAATTTCTTGTAGTGAGTTTTCAGCTCTATTAGATCAGCTTCATTCCTTTTAAAGATGGCTATTTCATCTTTCAGCTCTTGTACCATTTACAAGATCATCTGAGGCTGAGTTGCAAGTAGGTGCAGCCCAGGAAGAGACCCTGGGAGAGGCTGGCAGACAGAGGGGCACTCAGATCAGCCTGCCCCATCCCACAGGAAAGATAGCCCTGTTCTTTCTAGGAGCCCCTATCAACAAAGGCCAAAGCCACCCTAAGGAGTGAGATGAGCCTTGGGGGATGGGCATCCCTGGCTGTGCTCCACTGTAGGTATTCCTTGCCAAACCAGCTGGGCTCCACATGGGCTAGAGTCCTGTCCCTGTCAACTCTCCAACCAGCTCTTCTTGCAAGCTCAAATGTCCATGGAGGTCACTGGGTCTCCTGCAGCTAGGATTCCAGAGGTCTATGGTGAGAGTGGGCCATTCCATGCCTATTTAACTCACTCCTTCCCCAGTAACTGCTTGGGGCCAGGAATGAGTCCTGGTGCTCATTAGCCCCATGCAGAGTTCCTAGCTTCCTTCCTCTTCATCCCAGTGTCTGCATCTTCTCTCCATCCACTGTCAATGCCTTCCTTCCAAAGATCTACTTGGAGTGTACTAGTCTTCATGAAGGTCTGGTCTCGTGACCATGAAGGTCTGGTCTCTTGGTGGGAGAAGCACTTGATGGCTGTGTCTAGTTAACCATCTTGTCTTTTCCCTCAAATAAGTGTTGTATTGACCATAGTATAAAGAATTTTACTAAAAGAAGAATTGTATAAATCTTATGAGACAAGTTCATTCTCTAGTTTATTTGCAGGTAAAAGAAAAGGCTTCTTAATGTAAGATTAGGGTCTGTTAGGAAAGAGGGGGTGCTTGCAAACACACAGACTCACTCTTCTACCACCACTTTGCAAGGCAAATGAGTAATGACTCTAAATTATCACATATTCCTGTTTGTTTGAAATCTATTTCCTTAACAAGCATTCTCTAAATGTAAAAGTGGTATACAAGTATCATTATTTGAAGAAGATCTGGCTGTATTTCTGGAAAAACCAATAACTTCATCTGAATAGCTATTATAAGCAATAACAAAGTTCAGGAAATCAATATATAGAAATCTGTACCATTATAATATATATTTTAAAATATAGTCATGAAGAAAATCATTGCTACAATGAGAAGCAAAAGAAAACCTAAAAATAAGAAAATAAACAGCCTGTGCTTTGATTGGGAAGATCAGTTTTTTAAACCTGTTAAGTGCCATATATGTAATCTACAAGGATTTAAAAACCATATAGCTAGATGAATTGATTAAAAAGTGTACAATGTATATAAAAATGTACAAGAGCAGCCAAAAAAATTAAGGAAAAAAGGATAGTAGTTAAATGAACTAGCTCTATCTGATATTATAGCACATTATGAAACTGTTATAATCCAAACGGCATGGTACTGATATAATTTTGCGGAATCTAATAGAAAAAGGCATCCATATTTACAAAAGTGTAGTGTTAAGATTTTACATAGGTGAAAAACAATGAATAAGTGACAATTGAGAGTAGTTGGATAAATAAACTTAGATTCTGTCTCATTCCTTATAACAAAATCATTTGAAACTGTAAAAGTATTGGAATAAAACTTAGACCAAAAATACATTACTGTAGTTGAGGAGAGCAATGCAAAAATTCAAAAGCCATAAAATATTGATTTTTGATAGAAAAAATACTATAAGCAAATTCGAAAAACAAATAACAAGCTGGGAAAATATTTGGAAAACATGTGAGGAAGACCTAATTATCAAATATAAAAACCTCCCATAAATTAATTTAAAAGGCTATATAGGCTGTGTAAACATAATTCAAACATGAGTGAAGTATATGACCAGACTTTGCAGGAAAAAATAAACATAATTTTTAAACAAAAGAATAGAATTCAACTTTGCACATAATAAATACTTTGCAAATCAATATTAAGTAAAATAAAACCTTTTTATCATTGACAAAATTTTGGGTAACAAAATTGATAAATATACTGACAGGAGATTTATTCTCTCTTCTATTGATGGCGAAATGAATTGACATAAGGAGAGCTATTTGGCAATAGCTATTAAAATTTAAAATGCATGTACATTTTCACCCAGCAATTCTACATTGAGAATTTATTCCCATAGCTTATACACGCAATGTGTGTGTGCAAATGTATCTGTATACTTTCTTTAATAATACAATTTCTGATACAACCAAAGATTGGAAACCACCTACATTCCCATGGTAGGTCATAGGTTAAGCAAATCATAAAACACTATAATGTGGAATTCTAAGCAGCCCTTAAAAAATAACAAAAAATATTCCGTATACAGTAGTCCCCTTTTATCTGTGGTTTTTGTTTCTCTGGTTTTAGTTGCCTGTGGTCAATGGTGGTCTGAAAATATTAAATGGGAAATTCCAGAAATAAACGGCCAGGCGCAGTGGCTCATGCCTGTAATCCCAGCACTTTGGGAGGCTGAGGAGGGTGGATCATGAGGTCAGGAGTTCAAGACCAGCCTGGCCAACATGGTGAATCCCCATTTCTAACAAAAATACAAAAATTATCCAGGCGTGGTGGTGGGCGTCTGTAATCCTAGCTACTCAGGAGGCTGAGGCAGGAGAATTTCTTGAACTCAGGAGGCAGAGTTTGCAGTGAGCCGAGATCGCACCATTGCAATTCAGCCTGGGTGACATATCAAGACTCCATCTCGGGGAGGAAAAAAAAGACCAGAAATAAACAATTCATAAGTTTGAATTGTGAGCCATTCTGAGTAGTATGATGAAATCTTGTACCATCCTGCTTCGTCTAACCTGGGATGTGAATCATCCTTTTGTCCAGCATATCCACATTGTATATGCTATTTACCATCACTTAGTAGCTAGCTTGGTTTTCAGATCGAAAAGGTAGAGTATATATGGGTTTGGACTATCCACTGGGGCATCCACTGGGGTCTTGGAACATATATCCAGAGGATAAGGATGGATACTCTATAGTGTTATAGAACGAGCCTTAGGATCAATGGTAAAATAAAAAATAGACAGAAAAAAATGTATAATTTGTGTACAAATTGTGTACTATTTTTGAAAATAATGCACACAATGCTATGTTAGTATAGGAACATATCTAGAAGAATTCACCAGAAATTAATAACATTTATTGCATCTGAAGCATGGAAGACAAGAAGAGAAGATAGGCAGAGAGGAAGAATTTTTCTCTTTATAGCCTTTTTTTTTTTTTTTTCGCTCCTGGAGTGAATGGGGCCGTGCAAATTGATGACTAGTATTTATAAATATTTGAATGCTTTATTATTTAGAACACCTTTATCATGTAATTTAGCAATCATATTAACACAATGAGATAGTATCATGTGTATTTTACAGAGGTGGAATGAAAGGCTAAAAAAATTTAAGTATGCAAATTAAAAAAGTTTATTAGGGAGGGAATCAGGAAGTGGCTCCAAAAGGCATTTGCTGGGAATAGGCACAGCTGTCCTTCATGGCAAGGTCCAAGGTTAAGTCAAATTTGGCCTTTTGGGTATGCCACCCCTCTTAAAATTCTTTGGGATAGCTTTCCCAACCAGTAGCATGTTTAACTTAGGTGATATCAAAGAATGAGGCCACCATTTAGTATCTGCAATCACACACATACACAGTGCTGAATTTATTGCTTACTTAAGTAAGGGAGAGCTATGCTGGTTAGGTACATCCTCTCTGAGCATAGCAAGGAACTGATTGTATAAAAGGCTTTTGGGAAATAGTAAGTCGGGGAGTTGGTGGAGTTTTAGGGATGGGTTGATGTCACCTTTAGAAACATGGTTACTTGGGCAAGAGTGTAGTTGATAGATTGAGTTTTAAAAGCTTGTTCATGGGGCAAACCTATCCTTATTTGGCTGATTTTCAAAAGCAAAGGACTGTCACTGATTGGTTTGCAAAAGTGTGTTCACTGAGGTACTCTATCACTGATTGATCTAAAATGAATTTTTGTGGTTATTTGTTGTCATGATTACAACATAATCAGAATTTTCCTAGGTGTATGGGAACTTTTAAAATGTTATTCTCCATGTAGATTGTAAGTGTTTCCCATTCTGGGCAACGTATCTGGATTATTTTCTCATTTCCAAACAACTTCTGCTCTTCAGCGCCATGCAAGTATGTCTTCTGGGTTACCTAGTATGTAGACATTAATGACTTGTTCTTATAGTTCACCCTTGCTCATTTTCTTCTCCCACATAAAGAATGTATGAAAGAAGCGTTGACATTTTGGGGAGTAATATTCTAAAATTCTGACATCAGCCTAATCTTTTTGTAGCCAGAATCCTTGCTAAACACAGAAAGAATTCAGATTTCTTTGGATCTATTTGAGGAATTTGTGATTACAGGCAATCAGTGGTCTATTTACATGACAGCCTGATAATTTTGGCTGAGAGAGGAAAGGAGAGGTTTGTGCACAGGATCTTTGAGAAAAGACAATGAAAGAGTCATTAAGGGTCTGGTCCTCTTTCAAGCTGCCTACACATTTTCTTGAGCACCTGTGGAAAAAGGCATGGAAGGAAGTACTATTTTCATAAAAACCTTTTTCAGATGCAATGAGAAAGTGCTCAACAGTTCAAGTTATATCACCTGGGTGGCAACAATTGATAAATACGGGGGCAGGCAGTTTCACTATTGCCTTTCTGACTCTTGTGGATTGTTGGCTTTGGGATATTTGGGAGACAGCATCTTTGTTGAGTTCTCATGGGAGGCAGCACCAGAAATCACAGCAGTTGGGGACCTTCAGCCAGGTTGGGGAACAGAAGTTGTTGCTAAGGAGAAACTAGGGCAGGAGAGCAAGGTCAGGGCAAGTTTTCTAAAGGTAGGTTTGAGAGTCTATATAGGCTGTCATGTAGGGAGACCTAAGAAATATTAGGGGGCATATTTTCCAGGAGACTGGAGACTTTGGGGGTAAATAGAGACAAAAGCAGAATATTTATATGATTATTATATAACTTTGTTTAACTGTTAAAGTGACACCCATCTGCATCAATAGAATTGAGAATTAAGGATATTCAGTTTACGTTTATTTAATTCTGATTAAAAACCAATGTTGATCCTGTTCTGACTTTAATTTTTTGTTCTTCAAGACTCATAAGCACTTATCTCTTTGTGTTTCTAGTCAGTTAATTTATTTATTAATTCATCTGGTTATTTACTTCATTCAGGCTTTCAAACAACAAACATTTAATAGTTGCACACAATAATGAAAAGACAGTTTCTACACTCATAGTGTAGTGTTTGTGGCTTAGTAGTTAAAAATCACAGTAATAATTATAATATTTTGATATGTATAATGGAGTTATATACAGATTTTAAAAAGTTGTACAGAAAAATAGGGTCTTAAATCACCTGGGTAGAGTCAGAGAAGGCCTCCCATAAAATGAAATCTGAGTCACAAAGGAAGATTAGTTGGTTTCCAGGTGGTGACAGTGAGGAGGAGTACCCCAGGCAGTTACGTGCAAATGCATAAGAGATTTGTCAGGGAACAACAGATGATGTTAAATTACTTGAGCATTTAGAATAGAAGTGGAATGGTAAAGGATGAAATTGAATGGATGTTAAGGATACACAGAATGAAATGGTACTTCATGCCCTAGTACAGAGTTTATTATGGGGAGCAATTGAAAAAAGTTAAACAAAAGAGTAATAGGATTAGGTTTTCATGAATGTAAATTGCATTAATAACATTTTTTCAATACAATAAATATAAGTAATTATATATATCTACATCCTTTAATCAATTTCTCTAGTTTTTACAAACTACCTCCCTACCTTTCTTATATTTTTCCTCAATCCCAGTTCAATTTCATATGAAACTATCTCATAACTATTTCGAGGTAAGATAAGATAATTCTTAAAACTGATTTTAGGAGGGTATGTAAAGATGCCCCCATATGACAGCCAGTGTCATCTTTCCAATCAAGAAGTAGCAGTCCTATTTTAGCTAAATATGCTAAAAATATATCTGGAACTGGCTACTTGAGAAACATATTTGGAAAAGTCATTCTTCACAGAAGAATGTCTATCTGTATTGCTCCAACAGTGCACTTAATTTCTAGAAGATTGTCAAATAAAAGTTCTACTCTACATTTTTGTGGCTGGGCATAGCCTTTTTTTTTTTTTTTTTTTTCTTCTTCTAGCTCCTCTTCTCATTAGTGATGTAATTCCCTCAGGAATCTCCTCATAAAGAAAGACATCTGTTTCCATTTTCTTCTTAGAGGAACAGGATCTCTATACATCATTGAATAGATTAGTGTCATGAGTGTTAGCACTTTCCATGAAGCACAATCCCAAAGACCATGAAAAATTGAGATCCGCAGAGGAGAGGATGGAAAGTGTTTCCCCCACACCACAGGGTGTTTTACTGCTGCTGCTGCTGTTTAAGGTAAAGGGTGGTACACGTTTCTCTTTTTTTTCTTGTTTCCTTTCTTCCTTCTTCCCTCTCTTCCTCCTTCTTCTCTTCCCTTTTTACTTCCTTCCTGTTTGTTTTTTCTTTTTTTTTTGGAGGTGGAATTTCGCTCTTGTTTCCCACACTGGAGTGCAATGGCGAGATCTCAGCTCACTGCAACCTCCGCCTCCTGGGTTCAAGCGATTCTCCTGCCTCAGCCTCCAGAGTAGCTGGGATTACAGGGGCCCGCCACCACGCCCAGCTAATTTTTTGTCTTTTTACTAGAGACGGGGGTTTCACCATATTGGCCAGGCTGGTCTCGAACTCCTGACCTCAGGTGATCCACCTGCCTCGGCCTCCCCAAATTCTGGGATTACAGGCATGAGCCACCGCGCCGGGCCTTCCTTCCTGTTTTTATGTGCAGAGTTAGTAAAGAAATAGAGGTATTTTACTTTCATTGAGCATGTTCCTTTCCATTTACATTCTAAATTAGAAAATGATAATATGATTTTGTTTTCTGCAACATCTTAGAAGTATAATGTGTCTCAAATGGTTTTACAGCTCAAAAGAGAAGTATTAATTTTAAGTAAAAAATACATTGTATAGGAAGAGATGAGAGAATAATCTGTGAGAAAAGAGAGATGTTATATTTGTCTGTCAAGCAGCATGGTTAATTCAAATATTTTATTTTGGGTGAAGTGTATTTCATGAATTATGAGCATGTTCAATAATAAGGGACTGAGAAATTCGTTCAGTATCACAAATCACGTATTTTTATTTTTAAAAATATGCATCACTTCAGCTAGGTTAAAGTGTATCATCTTGTGACTTTCTTTTGCAGATTAGGTAGCTCTATCAGAGGACCTCATGAAATTTCTCTTAGTACTATATATTAGTCTAACTCTTAGGGTTCATGAATATTTGCTAAGAAATACACCCCCATTAAGCATGTTGCATATGTAATACTTAAACATTTATATAAGCAAATGTTAATAATTGTTTTTGAGGATAATGTTCATTTTTTAAAAAGTCATTTAGCTCAAAGCTGACAGTAGGAAATAATAAGGAAATCAACCTTTATCAAATGCACACTATGTACCAGGCCTGGTATACACAATATCTTATTAAAACCTTACACAAACTCTAAGTTCACTATTGTTTTCTCCATTTTATAGATGAAGATGCTCAGTCTGAGAGAAGTTAAGAGGTTTATCCCTGTTTGTACAAAATCCAAGTATCGGAGCTTTGAATAAAATTTAGATCTGTCTGGCTTCAAATCCATGCTCTTTTCAGATTATATAAAAGGTTTGAAGACTAATGACACTATTGAGTAAATTATGTGTTTTGTGCTAAATTCAGATAATTTTTAATACAGGTGCTCCTTGAATTTGTTTCAAAAATAAAATCATCCTAAAGTACAATTCCTTCATTGTGTGAAGTGGCCATTTCTTCAAAGTAAAAATTGTTTCATTTGCTAGTCTTCACCTTGCTAAAGTTGCAAACTTGTCAGATATCTAGAAGCTTCTGAAGGGTTTAAGGATATCCCAGTAGGTTCTGGAGAAAATGAACAGAGTAACACTGTTACCCTTTATGGCTGGTGGGGGACAGTGACAAAATAGCCATTTCTCCCCTGGCAAGTCCTGATGCACTTGGTCTTTGAGTTATAAACTTTCTGTCTTATCAGATATACATTAACTAAAGATTTAGCTGGGAGATGAGTGATTTTGGTGCGTGGTTTTCTGAACAGAATTATTAACTAATTCCGTGATTCAGGTATTACCTTGTGTATTTTTATTGGAAGTTAGTGCATGTACCAAAGACTATGTACGTAAAAATGAAAAGTCATTCCTTGAATTCTAAGATTTTTTTTCTCAGAAATATAAAAGGTCTTTTTTTTTTTTTTTAAAAAATACTAGTATTCCCACCTTATAATAGGTGTCTTAGTTTATTTGGGCTGCTGTAACAAAATATCTTAGGGTAGAAATTGATTGTTCACAATTCTGAAGGCTGGGGTACCCAAGATCAAGACACAGAGTCAGTGTCTGGTGTGAGCTTGTTCTCTGCTTCAAAGATAACACCTTTTTGCTGTGTCCCCCTATGGCAGAAATGGGATAGGCAGCTCTCTTTGACTTCTTTTATAAAGTTTTATGAGGGAAATTTGGGCAACATAGCGAGACCCTGTCTCTAAAAAAAAAAAAAAAAATTAGCTGGGCTAGTGGTGTACACCTGTAGTCAGAGCTACTTGGGAGCATTCCTTGAGCCCAGGAGTTCAGGCTGCAGTGAGCTGTGATCACCCCACTGCACTCTAGCCTGGACAACAACGTGAGATCTGTCTCTGAAAAAATAAAATAAAATAAAATAAAATTTTATGAGGGCAGGACCCTCATGACTTAATCACTTCACAAAATACCCCACCTCTTAATACAATCACATTGAGTGTTAGTTCCTAGCATATGAATTTTGAGGAGACACCAACATTCAGACCATAGCAACAGGTTTCATGGAATGTGCTTCTGTATAAGATCATTCCATCCACTTTGGTTTCTCAACTTCTGCACTACTGATATTTGGGTTGGATACTTCTTTGTTGGTGGGAGGCTGCCCTTTTCAGGATATTTAACAGCATCCCTGTGTTCTATCCACTAGATGCCAGTAGCATCTCCTCTTCTAAGTCATGACAATCAAAAATACTTTCAAGTATTGTCACATATCTCCGGGGAGCTGAAATTATCCCTAGTTGAGAATCACTACTCCGGGTCCATAGAACTTTATTTCTGGTCAATTTGGAATAGGAAAGAGGAAGATTGTATTGAAGATAGAGAAGAAAAGAAGATAAGAAAGAAAAGTGAGGTAAATAAATAAAATTAGATGTAAGCAGGATTATTAATAATATACTCAAACTGAAAGCAATCCAAATGTTCATCAGCTGATAAATAGATAACAAATTGTGGTACAGCCATACAGTGGAAATTCAGCTACATATAGGCATGAACTACTGAACAATGCAAAACAGATTGCATTTTGAATGAATGTTTAAAACATCATGCTCAGTGAAAGAAATTTGACATGAAAGACTGTATACATGATGATTCTGTTTATGTGAAGTTCTAGGAAAAACAGAATTATAGTGACAGAAAGCAGATAATGGATGCCAGAGGCTAGGGGTAGGAAAATGCGATTGACCTCAGAAGGGCATCTGGAAGATTTTTGTGGTGACAAAAATATTCCTTATTTTGATTGTTGTGGCTGCATGACTGTGTACATTGCCAATATGCATAAAATGTATACTTATAGTAGTTTAACTTTATTTTATTTAAATTATACCTCAAGAAAACTGTTAAAAAAGTAAATGTGAGAATGTAGGAAAATAAGTACAATATAGTGGACAGGATGGGAGTGGGGAGGAATTTCCAGACTCATCTTTGTAAATAGTCTGTGACAATTGACCTCCTGGAAGTGGAAACAATGCTCAGGGCTGGAATTGATTGGCAGGTCTGAATTTTTTTGGGGGGATATCCCTCAGCAGTTGCGATTTTACACAGTAACTTGTTTCTAGTGGGGCCAGTCAGAATTTTTTTCAAAGATGATCTGAGAACTCCCAGATCCTTGGGAACTATCATCAAGGAACCCAGAGGCCCCTTTGAGAAACTATGAATAAATAAGAGAGAGGTTGATACTGAGGTTCAGCACCCTCAATAAAAAGTCATACAGCAGTGTTTCCTTAGACTCTGAGATGCCAAGCAAACTTTAAAAATGACCTTATGGGGTTCATTAACTAAGCAAATTTTCAATGTTTCCTTCCTCCTCAACCCACTTTAGGAGCTTCTTGACTTAAAAGAATGTGAGTAGAATGATCTTAATGCATTCTTAGCATAAACTTGTTCACTTTTTCTAGAAAATGGTAAGGAAAGAGGCATGGAATTATAAGACAGAAGCCAGAGAGTTAGAAGAAGAAAGGGTTTGTTTGTTTGTTTGTGGTTTTTTAAAGTTTAAAATTGGCTTTAAAGAAAAAGGCTTTATAACTTGATAGACCTGGTGCACATCCTGGCTCAGTCACGCTCTTGCTTAGTGAACTTAAGTCAATTACTTTCTTTTCTGAGACAGAATTTCTTCATATAGAAAATGGGACAGTAGCATCTGCTCCTTATAGTTGTTATGAGAATAAAATGAAAATACTGTATGAGTTTCTGACGGCTGCTGTAACAAACTATTGCAAACTTGGAGTCTTAAAAAACAAAAAATTATTCTCTCAAGTTCTGGAGGCCAGGAATCCAAAATCAAGGTGTTGGCAGGACCACACTCTGTATGCAGATGCTAGAAGACAATCCTTCCTTGCCTCATCCAGCTTCTGGTGACTGTCAAGACTCCTTGGGACTGCACCATTTCAATCTCTGTTGCTATTTTCACGCGGCCGTCTGTGTGTCTCTGTTCAATCTCCCTCTTCTTTCTTATAAGAACACCTGTCATTGGATTTAGTGCCTTCCCTAATTCAGGATGGTCTCATCTCAGGATCCTTAATTATATTTTTACCCTTCTTTCAAACTAGTTCACATTCCTAGGTTCAGGGCAGATATATCTTTTCAGGGTGGGGCGCGGGTATGCCATTATTCAGCCCACTACAGGTAATACTTACGGAGAGCACATAGTGTCAGCTCAGTACTTAGTGGCTATTACTATGGTCAGGATTTTATTTTATAATTTCATGAGGGCTAAGAAAACTTCTGTAATAATCATTTGGATGCCTCAAATTGCATGTAAGTCTACTCTCGTAGGCACAATAATCTATCAAGATGAATTAATTCTAAAACTAATGAAAATTCTACATTTAGTTAGTCCTTTTTCCAATGCTGTGACAATAGTCCTCTTTTGCCTTCTTCCAATCATCTATGTAGCCTCACATTTTTCCAGTAAGGGTGAACATGAGACCACACAATCATTTTTATTTTATATAGTATTTTAATAACAAATATTTATTAAACAATTATAATGATAATTAATCAAAAGGGTGATACGAAGTATAAAATGTGATAATCTGGAAATTTACTCTAGCTGTATGGAATGGAAAAAAGTTAATCTGTTAGTACTCTTTCCACACAGATTAACACAGAGGTGACCTTACTTGCTCAAGGTCACATAAGCAGTGTGATTTAAGGGACATTCTTACCTGTGGAACCAATACTGACTTAGCTGACTTAAGGAGCCTCTCTACATATGGAACTATTACTGTAATACACATAATATATAAAGCTCATTATCTCATCCCTCCTTCCAAGTCAAAATTTTTAATTATATGCCTTTAAAAGCCAATAGCTTTTGAAGTTATGATTAAAATGAATCTCTGCTTTGCTCAGCAGGATTCTGTTGAGTATCTTAAATAACTCCAAAGGAACTTTTTTTCTCTCCCTTTTCATAGGCTTAATAACAATCTTTTCTCTCTTGATGTTCCTTTGTAGTGATATACAGGCTTGGTGTTTTCTATAGATAACATAACACAAGATCAAAATGTGCAGAAGTAAAATAAATGGCGTATGAGGCTCATCTGCTGTCTGTAGGCAGCACGTTGGCAGCGATTCCGTTTGCTTTACTGCGGTCTTGACAGGCATCCTGCTCCCTGACAGTGAAGCTAACATGCCTCAGCAGTGGCTGCAAAAGCAGCTTCGGGTGATTAAATCTCAGTCTTTCTGTCAGGAAACTGCTGGTGATGTCTTTTCTCACAACTACTTATGTGTCATTATAAGCCTCCTTTCTTCTCTGTAGATTTGACTCTGGCATTACATAGAAAAAATGCTCACGTGGCATGTCTTGTTTCCAAATCCCTTACCTTTATATTTTAGGTGACAGGATGCTTTATTTGCTCATTACCAAAGAAGCTGAAAACAGAGGAAAATATTTCTGAAAATATTGAAGCTTGCACATGCATTTCTAGTCTAAATATAAATGCTTGATTTCTTTCCCCCAATAGATTATAAATACACATGGTTGCTCTGTTTTCACTGATATTTTTTAAACAAATATTTCATTTCAGTATCTTAGTGCTTATGATGTAGTGGATTTGTGAAGTTTATATAAATATATAAAACACGAATTTAAAAAACTAATTTCGGTAAGTCTTCTAGCCAAAGCATAGATTTATATGCACAGATAAATATTGTAAAATACATGTATGCATTTGATCTAATAGTCTGAACAGGCTTTTGGATGGCTGTGATTTGTGAAAAAGGACATGAAAATTATGAATAATATTGAGCTAGGTGTTGGCACAGGGGAAACCTATTCCGGGCCTGGAGTATCACCTGTATGACTCAGGAGTGGGTAATACCATTACCTAGGTATTAAGCCCAGCATGCATTAGCTATTTTTCCTGATGCTCTCCCTCCCACTTCTTCCCCAACCAACAGGCCGCAGTGTGTGTTGTTCCCCTCCCTGTATCCATGTATTCTCATCTTTCAGCTCCCACTTATAAGTGAGAACATGTGGTATTTGGTTTTCTGTTGCTGAGTTAGTTTGCTGAGGATAATGGATTCCAGCTCTATCCAGTGTGGCAATTCCTTAAAGACCTAGAACCAGAAATGTCATTTGACCCAGCAATCCCATTAATGGGTATATACCCAAAGGAATAGAAATCATTCTATTAATATTATAAAGATACATGCACATATATGTTCATTGCAGCACTATTTACAATAGCAAAGACATTGAATCAACCAAAATGCCCATCAATGTTAGACTGGATAAAGAAAATGCAGTACATATACACCATGGAATACTATGCAGCCATAAAAAGGAATGAGAGTATGTCCTTTTCAGGGACACTGGATGGAGCTGGAAGCCATTATCCTCAGCAAACTAGCACAGGAAGAGAAAACCAAAAACTGCATGTTCTCACTTATAAATGGAAGCTGAAGGATGAGGGCACATGGACCAGGGAGGGGAACAACACATACTGGGGCCTGTTGGGGGAGGGGAGGAAGAGGGAGTAAGAGCATCAGGAAAAATAGCTAATGCATGCTGGGCTTAATACCTAGGTGATGGGTTGACAGGTGCAGCAAATCACCATGGCACACATTTACCTATGTAACAAGCCTGCATGTCCTGCACATGTACCCCGGAACTTAATAAAACAAAATTAACAAAAGCTTTAAAGATAAAAAGTAATATATGTCAATTGTTTGATTACAGTTGTTTCTAATTTTTAATTACTCTTGTTAAATAATAATGCAATGAATATGCTTATAGATACACCTTTCCCCTTTATTTCTGATAATTGTATCCTCTTTGACAAAGGGTGGAGCTATTATGCCTCATTTTTTCTTTTGTTGTTTCAGTAGTTTCTAGAAAAAAAAAATTGCAACCCAAAGAAGCATACCTAAATATTATCAGTGTTTTTGGTGAAATTAGTTCCTATTATTATTAGTGAAATTGGAAACTATTGTGTGTGTGTGTGTGCATGCGTATGTGTATGTGTGATATTAAGCTCATGGATAAAATGACTTAAAACAGTTTTCCATAATTTTGCATAACTCAGAGATGATTACATCTTTTTGAATTTTCAGCTACTCAAAAATTTAAAGGAGCTGGTTTAAATTGCTATCTATATTAGGAATGTTATTTGAAGGTGAATGTTATTTGAAGTTAAATGTTATGATACATATTATTATATTTTAGTCCATAATTTGTTTTTGGAGTTCAAACTTAGATCAGCTTTTGAACGTTTCCCTTTTTACCAAAATATTATTGTGCAACTATTTTATATTCGTGTTAAAAAAAAGGAATGATAGCACATCTTCAACAAAACCCAAACTTTCACTTTTATCTTCCATCTTCTTTCTAATTCTTGATTGTGGTTATTCTTTCTTCCCCTTTTTCTCTACCTCTTTTGTAATTTTTTAAAAAAAATTTATTTGAAAAAATCTGCATGAATGATTTGAAGGTTAAAACAAAATTAACATTTAAGTAAAAAATTACTAGGTTAGGTCCGAGTCTGACTTTTTATTTCACTGAAATTACTTGTAACCTCAGGCTCCTTTGGATTGAAGAATCTCCCTTTTCGTTATTTGAGAAAATTTTTATCCTATTGTATCTCTGAATATTAGTCTTCCATTTTAACATCTATGATTTCTAGCTTAAAATTATTTCTTATGTTGTGTTTGTCTTTTCTCTCTGCATTCTTAATGAGTGCTATGTTTTTGTCTTTCACACTAGAAATTCAATTTTTAGGCTATGTTTTGTTTTTACAGCCTTCAGCTAACATTTAAATTGTAATTGAATTTTAAAGTCCCCGTTTGTCTTTTTCATGCAATTCTACTCTTATCTATAATTTTTCTTTTCCTTTTTTTTTTTTTTAATTGAGACATAGTTTCTCTCTTGTCACCCAGGTTGGAGTGCAATGGCACGATCTCAGCTCACTGCAACTTCTGCCTCCCAGGTTCAAGCAATTCTCCTGCCTCAGCCTCCCGAGTAGCTGGGATTACAGGCACGCACCACCATGCCCAGCTAATTTTTGTATTTTTAGTAGAGACGGGGTTTCACCATGTCGGCCAGACTGATCTCGAACTCCTGACCTCAGGTGATCCACCCACTTCGGCCTCCCAAAGTGCTGGGATTATAGCCACTGTCCCTGGCTGGATTTTTCTTATATTATCCTGAAGGCTAAGGTTCTTGAATTTTATTAAAACTGTATTATGATTTTTAAAAATATCAAGAGTGCCAACCAGTGGTTTTCTTTCTTAATTTTCATGCATTTCTTGAAGAAAGTCATTTTCACTGCCATTATTTTTCTTTTCTTTCTTTCTTTTTTTTTTTTTTTTTTTTTTGAGACGGAGTTTCACTCTGTCACCAGGCTGGAGTGAAATGAGTCTTGGTCTGGAATTTTCCACATTCTTCATTTTTCCTTCTTGTTACACATTCTAGGAGTGAGTGCTACCTAGACTTACCATTAATGAACAGCCTTGGCAAGGCTGATGATGTGTCCTTAGCCCTTCAAATAATAACTTGGTTATGAGCAGCCTCACTTTTCTGATCTAATTCTGAAAATCAGGTTCATAGTTTCTCCCCTGTTTAGTATGCAATGGCTAGTAGGTATTTTTCTACTCTGAGTCTACGATATTTTAATTGGATTGTCTCCTTTTACTGATTTGGGGGTTCTTTGACTTGCTTAGAGAGTTAGGGATGACACATGACTAGGTTCTCCTCCAGCCAGCTCTGCTCTTGGAGCTCATTCATTCTTTGCTCCTGTGTACACCTTTGCTTAGGGGTTCTGGGTCTCAGAATTCTATAAAATTGTGGCTTTCTCCCTTTCCCTTCTGCTGGGAAGCTGAAATTAGCAATCTTTGCATTTAAGTAATCACAGTGTTGAATTTTACTAAGCCTTGTCCTCCTGGAAAATATATAGTAATAACGTAAATACTCTTTATATATATATTTATATATATATTTATATATATATTTATATATATATTTATATATATATTATATTTATATATAAATAATATATATATTATTATACTTTAAGTTCTAGGGTACATGTGCACAATGTGCAGGTTTGTTACATATGTATACATGTGCCATGTTGGTGTGCTGCACCCATTAACTTGTCATTTACATTAGGTATATCTCCTAATGCTATCCCCGCTCTGCCACCAACCCCACGACAGGCCTTGGTGTGTGATGTTCCCCTTCCTATGTCCAAGTGTTCTCATTGTTCAATTCCCACCTATGAGTGAGAACATGCGGTGTTTGGTTTTTTGTCCTTGCGATAGTTTGCTCAGAATGATGGTTTCCAGCTTCACCCGTGTCCCTACAAAGGACATGAACTCATCCTTTTTTATGGCTGCATAGTTTCCATGGTGTATATGTGCCACATTTTCTTAATCCAGTCTATCATTGTTGGACATTTGGGTAGGTTCCAAGTCTTTGCTATTGTAATGCCGCAATAAACATACGCGTGCATATGTCTTTGAAGTAGCATGATTTATATTCCTTTGGGTATATACCCAGTAATGGCATGGCTGGGTCAAATGGTATTTCTTGTTCTAGATCCCTGAGGAATCGCCACACTGACTTCCACAATGGTTGAACTAATTTACAGTCCCACCAACAGTGTAAAACTGTTCCTATTTCTCCACATCCTCTCCAGCACCTGTTGTTTCCTGACTTTTTAATGATCGCCATTCTAACTGGTGTGAGATGATACCTCATTGTGGTTTTGATTTGCATTTCTCTGATGGCCAGTGAGGATGAGCATTTTTTCATGTGTCTGTTGGCTGCATAAATGTCTTCTGTTGAAAAGTGTCTGTTCATATCCTTCGCCTACATGTTGATGGGGTTGTTTGTTTATTTCTTGTAAGTTTGTTTGAGTTCTTTGTAGATTCTGGATATTAGCCCTTTGTCAGATGAGTAGATTGCAAAATTTTTCTCCCATTCTGTAGGTTGCCTGTTCACTGTGATGGTGGTTTCTTTTGCTGTGCAGAAGCTCTTGAGTTTAATTAGATCCCATTTGTCAATTTTGGCTTTTGTTGCCATTGCTTTTGGTGTTTTAGACATGAAGTCCTTGCCCATGCCTATGTCCTGAATGGTATTGCCTAGGTTTTCTTCTAGGGTTTTTATGGTTTTAGGTCTAACATTTAAGTCTTTAATCCATCTTGAATTAATTTTTGTATAAGGTGTAAGAAGCTATATGTAGAAAGCTGAAACTGAATCCCTTCCTTACACCTTAACGTAAATACTCTTACCCTTTTGTGTTCTGAGAAATGACTGCAAAGAACAGCCCTCTTTCACCACGTAACTAGAAAAGGATCACACATGTCCCCTTAGTTACCTATTAATGCCAGAAACACACCCTCCAAATGTCCGTCCTTCGCATCATAAATGTTAGCTGAACTGTTTTGTCTCCAGTGATGAATTAAAACAAAATGCTTGTTAATGAAAAATTTTGGTTAAGTTTATCATCTTTCCCGGATGCCTGAATGTTGATCCATTCCCAGCCTGGGCCAGTCCTCCTTATCAGTCCCTCCTGAGATTAGTCTGACCTCAGAGTAGAACATGCCCTGATTTACCATTTTATCCCACCCCTCTTGTTTATCCCACTTATACTGATTCTTTCTAGCCTTGTTCACTCCTCCCTATAAAAAAAAAAAACAAAACCCTTTTCTGCCTACCCTTTGAGATACCTGCAAATCTCCTGGTTAAGTGTTCTACCTATTGTAATACTGATTTTATTATGTAGTGAAAGATAGGAATCCAGCTTTATGTTTTTGTAGATGGATATCCAGCTGTCTCAGCACAATTGGTTGAAAAGACTATTCTTCCTAAATTTGATTGTCTAGGTACCCCTGTCTAAAATTAATTCATTATAAATGTAAGAGTTTATTTCTGGACTTTCAATTCTAGTCCATTGATCTTTATGTCTATCTTTATGTCAGTACCACACTGTCTTGACTTCTGTAGCTTTGTAATAAGTTTTGGAATCAGGAAGTGTGAATCTTCTAACTTTCTTCTTTTTCAAGATTGTTTTGGGTATTCTGAGTCCCTTGAATTTCCATATAAATTTTAAAATAAGGTTTTCAATTTCTGCAAAAAAAAATTCAGCTAAGGTTTTGACAGAGACTACATTACCATCTGAATATTTTTTGTGCTCTCAAACACTGAATATGAGATTTCTTTTTATGTATGTATATCTTATTCTTTCAATGATGTTTTGTAATTTTCAGTGTACATGTCTTGAACCTCTTTTATAAATGTATTACTAAATATTTTATTATTCTTGATGTTATTGTAAATGGAACTGTTTTCTTAATTTTATTTTTAGATTGTTCTCCTTGTGCTTTTAACATTTATTTAGCAAGAAAAGTTTTTTTCCTGCAAAGATTTGAAAACTCTGGCAGGTCCTGAATTAGCTTCGCAGGGCTGCCGTAACTAAATACCAGAAACTAGGTGGCTTAGAACAGCAAAGTGTATTATCTCACTCTTCTGGAGGCTAGAAGTCCAGAATCAAGGTGTTCTCAGGGCTATGCTTCCTCTGAAGAGGAATCCTTCCCTGTAGAGAAATTGTCCCTTGACTCTTCCTAGTTTCTGGTAGTTTTCCAGTAATTCTTGGAGCTCCTTAGCTTATAGAGATGCATCACTCCAATCTTTGCTTCCATCATCACTGGTCCTATGTCTGTCTTCGCATGGTGTTTTCCTCTTATAAGAAAAGGACACTAATTTACTGAATTAGGGCCAACCCTAATGACTTCTTCTTGACTTGATTACATCTGTACAGATACTATTTCCAAATCAGATCACATGAACAGATTTCAGGGTTAAGACTTCAACATAACTTTTGGAGGGCCACAATTCAACCAGTAATAAGTCCTGTGAGGTTTCTGGGTTATCTTAGGCAATAAAAAGTTCAATGCCATCTTCAAATTTTAAAACTCAGTTTTTATTTTAAAAACAAACAAACAAACAAAAAAACAGAATGTCCAGTCCAGGTCAAAGGTAAAGCCTGTAGACTTCCTGTCCACTATAGAAAAGTATGAAATGGGTTTCTTTTCTCTTTCTTGCTAGGCTACTCTACCACTTGCAAGCTGCTGTTTCTGACCTTCTGGAGTTTGGAGGAAGGAAGAAAAGAAAAAGAAGAAAAGAAAGTTTTTATTTTACTGGTATGGGTTATAAACTGCCATCATTACCTCTAGGCCTAGATTATGCTTACCATGGATTCTTTGGAAACTTCTCTTAGGTCCCTTTGATTATAAATCTTATAGTGTCCCTTATATGCACACTATTCCTCCAGCTGTTGGCTCACTCCTCAGCTCCTGGCTTTCCAGCAGTGCTCTCCAAGCAGACACTCTCTGTTGGAGACCATTTGCCCTTCCCCATTAGCATTTCTACTGGAAAGAAGCTTACTTTGAGCTAGCTTTACTACTTCATGGCCCATGTCTTGTTCACATATTAAAGTAGTTTTTGCTCTGAAAAGGGTAGCTATATCTCTTTGGATGAGGGAACTAGCAGCCCATCTCTTCTCAGTTTTTTCAGATGGTTCAGTCCCCGGTGTCTCTAAATTGCAGAAAACACAAACCAACTTGTTCATCCCTGTAGCCCTTCTTAATATACTTCAGGTGAAGAAGGAGGCACCTTTATGCTTTCTCTCTATTCAACAGGTAACACTCACAGCACTCTAATATCTGTCTCCAAAGATTCTTCCCACATCATTCTCTCAAGACTCCATGTGTTTATATAATTGGTCTAGATAAAAACTTTAGCTTAAAGGGTATTATAGTTTGAATTCCCCCAGAACCAGACCCTAAGACAGGTTTTGAGTGTAAGTAGTTTATTTAGAAGGGGTAGGAAACATCAGCAGAGGAATAAGGAAGTGAGAAAATGAAGAAAACCCTCTAGAAAAAACATACAACTTTAAAATGGCTACCACGATGAAGGATTGAAGCTTAATTCTACAGTGAAACTGGGAAACTGTGTAAAATGCATGCTTCAGAATTATCCATCAGAAGAGCAAGAGAGAGTGATATTTATAAATCAGAGTTGGTTGAAGGATACTTCTTTCTAGCAAGAAAGAGAAGGAGAAAAAGTGTTAATTTCCTGACATTTCCAGCCTGCTGCACCTGTGAACAGAACTGTTTTGTAGAGATCTAGAATAAGCTTTCAGACACACAGATGCAGATCCTGGCAGTTGGAAGATTTCCAAACAGCACTCTAATTGAAAGACTCAAGGAATATGGGTAGGGCACTCACTTTATTTGCTACAGCCTATTCCTTGCATGCTCAGATTCCATTTGTCCAGGTGGTGGCTGGTCACAATTTCTTAAAAAAGAAAAAGGCCTTACTTATACTACAAAGATTGGGAGATTGAACTTCAAGCTTTAGTCTCTGCTACTTCCAATTATCCCAAGGTTATGAATGATATTTGTTATTTCCCTTCTCTACCATGGATTCTAAATTACCTCACACCATCACCTAACACTTCTCTGTTGCTTGCCCAGTGGTGTAACCTAGACAGACTGTAGCAGTTGCTTTGCCAACATCCCCTTCTGTCCTTCATTATGTTTTTTGTGCATGCTGCCTCTGAATGTTCTTTCATGTCCAACAGTCAGTACCTGCATTATATCGTCACTGCTCAATTGTCAGGCTGCTGGAACCCACTTTGCCTATAGAAAAGGAGACTCGGAAGTGGATGGGAGTTTACGTCCACATGGGGGGCATCTCTTAACCAATGACTGGCAGGTGAAAAGATATAAGTATTCCAATTCTCTTACCTTTGTTCAGTACCACTCTGAGATATAACATATACTGTCCCTGGGGCTCTCTTATGGAATGAAAAACTTTCTCTCCATGGATCTTTGCCTGGCATCATACCCTTGACTGGCCTTCATCCATTCCCAGTCCCATTTAATGTACTCTATTACTAGTTTTTCCTAGGAAAATCTCCCTAATAAATAAATTTTCACAAGAATCCTTGTGGTAAGATCTGTTTCTGGAGCTTCATCTTAAGTGATTGGAACTCGTGGTTACCATGCCTTATTTGGCAAATTCACATTTAGCGTTTAGAAGCACCAAGAAAACCAGTCAACCTTTTGAATTTCAGATATACTCATCCCTTCTCTGCTGTGAAGCAGTAGCATTGTCTGCTCATAATAATCAGGATCAATTTCTTCTGCCTGCCTTTATATTAAATCTGTTTTTTTTTAAACTGCTTGTCTACTGGTACTAAAAGCACCAGACAGTAGCCTAGCCCTAACTTAAAGTTTAGTGGATGCCTTAGCATGTCTTCTGTTAGAGACATCTCTTCCCTGGAACCAGGACCTCTAGTTCGGCAGAGCTTGATGAAAGCACAAATTTCCCAAGGGTGAGTAATGGTGAAGCAGCTACTTCTAATTCCATGAGTGAAGTTCCAGATGTGTATACTCTACTTTTCAAGGATGCATATAATAGCTATTCATTTAAAGTATATAAAGCATATTGAATGACAATGTCCCAACATTGCATGATAACATCTCCAAACTAATGCCTTACTAATTGAGCCTTTCAGAGGCCATTCTAAGGTTGTAGGTAGCAGCTGTTTCTGGGTAATTCGATAAATTGTTAAAAAAAATTTAATCATAGACTCATGGTGGCATCTCTTGAAGTGAAAAGTGGATTATTTGGCTGCATATAATATATGCAGGATCCCATGATGCAAATCAGATACTATGTGAGCCCTTAAAATGTTAAAAGCAAGTTACTGTAGGCAGGAAAGCCAAACCCAAATCTCGAAGAAGTGTTGATTCTTGTCAAAATGAATTGCTGTTGTTTGTTCTCAAGTTGCTTGTTGGTTTCCCTGAGCAGTAGTTTCATAGAGGAGGGGACTCAGTGTTGATCCGTTTTTCTTGGTTGGACATTAAACACTTGCAGTAACTAGATAAGCCATGGTGAGCTGTATGTCTTGCTGTTGAGCCATTCATAACCTCTGTATCTGCCACCGTGACTGTCTATGCCTTTTTCTTACCTACTCTTGATCTGTTTTGGTTCTATAGCATGAGCAATACACTTGTATTGCTTGTGTTGCCTGACTACCCATCTTGCCCACAGGAACACTCTGGATTATAACACATCTATGGAGTCATGAAGGTCAGGACTCATGGGTGCTATTCTATCTTTGAGGCTTGTTGTGGTAATTATGTCTACCTTGCCTCTAGTTAAATGTTGCCAAGTGGCTTTTGCTGTTTTGAAAAATGATGATCTGCATTGACCATTTGAATCTTGTTTCCATTGAATTTAATATCTTGTTAGGTATAATTCTTTTTGACTCTGGATTTCTTTTAGTAATCTCATGTTTGTTTGTTTGTTTTAAATAGAGTATTTTGTTTTCTAAAAGGAAACTCTCAGTATTTTTCCCCAGTTGGATTATCTATAAACAAATGGGCTAAAAAGTTCTTAGATTTTTCGTGTTCTCTTCTTTATTTATTTAAAGCTGTCTAGCATTTGTGCAGCTCTTCATTCATAAAAATGAAAACCAATCAAATTTTGTAGGCCAACAGAGAATTGAAAGATAAATTAAGTCTTCAACTTGCCTTTCCCTTTCTTAGAACTTACCAAAATTTCACATAATTTTTTCAGTTGTCTCTTTAAGATGTTGTTTCCTCTTAGTTTATTTCATGTCAGTTTTGATTACTGATAATCTCTTACAAGCCAGTAATTGAAGCTTCAACTTATTTGTCTTACTCCATTTTCCTTGTAGGCACACCTCATTGCATTCTGTCTCTGTCATGAAATGATCAACTCTTTATGTGAAGCAAGTGTTATGCCATTTTCACCTCTCCATTTCCTCTGCCAAACGTAGTAGGCACTCAATAAATGTCTATTGAGGGAATGAATACATGAATAAATGAGATTGCTGAGGGCACAATTTCTCCTATAACTTGTTTCTTGTCTGTAAATATCTTTCATTGTTTTCCTGTGGGTTTTCAGGTTTGAGTAGAAATTCTAGCAAATAGATTGGAAGCAGTTCTGCTGAACATCCTCTGCTTATTTTCTAATTTCCTTTAAAAGTCTCACTTTTGTAAAACATCTTCTGTTGCCTTTCCAACTTAGCTGTTTTTCTTCTCCTTCACTTTTACTCTGCGATGTTAAAAAAGGACTCTTTCTTCTTCTTTTTTTTTAATGATTATTATACTTTAAGTTTTAGGATACATGTGCACAATGTGCAGGTTTGTTACATATGTATACATGTGCCATGTTGGTGTGCTGCACCCATTAACTCGTCATTTAGCATTAGGTATATCTCCTAATGCTATCCCTCCCCCCTCCCCCCACCCCACAACAGTCCCCAGTGTGTGATGTTCCCCTTCCTGTGTCCATGTGTTCTCATTGTTCAATTCCCATCTATGAGTGAGAACATGCGGTGTTTGGTTTTTTTTGTCCGTGTGGTAGTTTGCTGAGAGTGATGGTTTCCAGCTTCATCCATGTCCCTACAAAGGACATGAACTCTTCATTTTTTCTGGCTGCATAGTATTCCTGGTGTATATGTGCCACATTTTCTTAATCCAGTCTATCATTGTTGGACACTTGGGTTGGTTCCAAGTCTTTGCTATTGTGAATCGTGCCGCAATAAACATACGTGTGCATGTGTCTTTATAGCAGCATGAGTTATAATCCTTTGGGTATATACCCAGTAATGGGATGGCTGGGGCAAATGGTATTTCTAGTTCTAGATCCCTGAGGAATCACCACACCAACTTCCACAATGGTTGAACTAGTTTACAGTGCCACCAACAGTGTAAAAGTGTTCCTATTTCTCCACATCCTCTCCAGCACCTGTTGTTTCCTGACTTTTTAATGATCGCCATTCTAACTGGTGTGAGATGGTATCTCATTGTGGTTTTGATTTGCATTTCTCTGATGGCCAGTGATGATGAGCATTTTTTCATGTGTTTTTTGGCTGCATAAATTTCTTCTTTTGAGAAGTGTCTATTCATATCCTTCGCCCACATGTTGATGGGGTTGTTTGTTTATTTCTTGTAAATGTGTTTGAGTTCTTTGTAGATTCTGGATATTAACTCTTTGTCAGATGAGTAGGTTGCAAAAATTTTCTCCCATTCTGTAGGTTGCCTGTTCACTCTGATGGTGGTTTCTTTTGCTGTGCAGAAGCTCTTGAGTTTAATTAGATCCCATTTGTCAATTTTGTCTTTTGTTGCCATTGCTTTTGGTGTTTTAGACATGAAGTCCTTGCCCATGCCTATGTCCTGAATGGTATTGCCTAGGTTTTCTTCTAGGGTTTTTATGGTTTTAGGTCTAACATTATAGTCTTTAATCTATCTTGAATAAATTTTTGTATAAGGTGTAAGGAAGGGATCGAGTTTCAGCTTTCTACATATGGCTAGCCAGTTTTCCCAGCACCATTTATTAAATAGGGAATCCTTTCCCCATTGCTTGTTTTTGTCAGGTTTGTCAAAGATCAGATAGTTGTAGATATGCAGCATTATTTCTGAGGGCTCTGTTGTGTTCCATTTATCTATATCTCTGTTTTGGTACCAGTACCATGCTGTTTTGGTTACTGTAGCCTTGTAGTATAGTTTGAAGTCAGGTAGCTGATGCCTCCAGCTTTGTTCTTTTGGCTTAGGATTGACTTGGCAATGCGGGCTTGTTTTTTGGTTCCATATGAACTTTAAAGTAGTTTTTTCCAATTCTGTGAAGAAAGTCATTGGTAGCTTGATGGGGATGGCATTGAATCTATAAATAACCTTGGGCAATATGGCCATTTTCATGATATTGATTCTTCCTACCCATGAGCATGGAATATTCTTCCATTTGTTTGTATCCTCTTTTATTTCATTGAGCAGTGATTTGTAGTTCTCCTTGAAGAGGTCCTTCATATCCCTTGTAAGTTGGATTCCTAGGTATTTTATTCTGTTTGAAGCAATTGTGAATGGGAGTTCACTCATGATTTGGCTCTCTGTTTGTCTGTTATTGGTGTATAAGAATCCTTGTGATTTTTGTACATTGATTTTGTATCCTGGGTAGGATACAAAATTAGAGAATGAAGAGATGCACTCAACTGAGTTAAACAAAATTTGCTGAGTGCCTACTATGTGTATGACAATCTGTTAGATAGAAGGAGGGAGGTAAAGAAAAATGAATAAACAAGACATGGCAAAGGAGCATGATTTCAGTGAGGGAAACTGACATGTACCTCACAGACTTTTATGGGATATACTGCAATAAACTCTAGAGTAGTAGAGAGAAGAAATAATTGAACCTGACTTTGGGGCTCTACAAATGCTTTTCAGTACAGATGATGTCTGAGCTGGCTTTGAAAATGGGTGCAATTTTCCTAATTGAGTGCCCTTTATTTCCTTCTCCTGCCTGATTGCCCTGGCCAGCACTTCCAACACTATGTTGAATAGGAGTGATGAGAGAGGGCATCCCTGTCTTGTGCCAGTTTTCAAAGGGAATGCTTCCAGTTTTTGCCCATTCAGTATGATATTGGCTGTGGGTTTGTCATAGATAGCTCTTATTATTTTGAGATACATCCCACCAATACCTAATTTATTGAGAGTTTTTAGCATGAAGGGTTGTTGAATTTTGTCAAAGGCCTTTTCTGCATCTATTGAGATAATCATGTGGTTTTTGTCTTTGGTTCTGTTTATATGCTGGATTACGTTTATTGATCTGCGTATGTTGAACCAGCCTTGCATCCCAGGGATGAAGCCCACTTGATCATGGTGGATAAGCTTTTTGATGTGTTGCTGGATTCGGTTTGCCAGTATTTTATTGAGGATTTTTGCATGGACGTTCATCAAGGATATTGGTCTAAAATTCTCTTTTTTGGTTGTGTCTCTGCCAGGCTTTGGTATCAGGATGATGCTGGCCTCATAAAATGAGTTAGAGAGGATTCCCTCTTTTTCTATTGATTGGAATAGTTTCAGAAGGAATGATACCAGCTCCTCCTTGTACCTCTGGTAGAATTCGGGTGTGAATCCATCTGGTCCTGGACCTTTTTTGGTTGGTAAGCTATTAATTATTGCCTCAATCTAAGAGCCTGTTATTGGTCTATTCAGAGATTCAACTTCTTCCTGGTTTAGTCTTGGGAGAGTGTATGTGTTGAGGAATTTATCCATTTCTTCTAGATTTTCTAGTTTGTTTGCGTAGAAGTGTTTATAGTATTCTCTGATGGTAGGTTGTATTTCTGTGGGATCGGTGGTGATATCCCCTTTGTCATTTTTTATTTTGTCTATTTGATTCTTCTCTCCTTTCTTCTTTATTAGTCTTGCTAGCGGTCTATCAATTTTGTTGATCTTTTTGAAAAATCAGCTCCTGGATTCATTAATTTTTTGAAGGGTTTTTTGTGTCTCTATTTCCTTCAGTTCTGCTCTGATCTTAGTTATTTCTTGCCTTCTGCTAGCTTTTGAATGTGTTTGCTCTTGCTTCTCTAGTTCTTTTAATTGTGATGTTAGGGTGTCAATTTTAGATCTTTCCTGCTTTCTCTTGTGGGCATTTAGTGCTATAAATTTCCCTCTACACACTGCTTTGAATGTGTCCCAGAGATTCTGGTATGTTGTGTCTTTGTTCTCGTTGGTTTCAAAGAACATCTTTATTTCTGCCTTCATTTCGTTATGTACCCAGTAGTCATTCAGGAGCAGGCTGTTCAGTTTCCATGTAGCTGAGCGGTTTTGAGGGAGTTTCTTAATCCTGAGTTCTAGTTTGATTGCACTGTGGTCTGAGAGACAGTTTGTTATAATTTCTGTTCTTTTACATTTGCTGAGGAGAGTTTTACTTCCAACTATGTGGTCAATTTTGGAATAGGTGTAGTGTGGTGCTGAAAAAAATGTATATTCTGTTGATTTGGGGTGGAGAGTTCTGTAGATGTCTATTAGGTCCGCTTGGTACAGAGCTGAGTTGAATTCCTGGATATCCTTGTTAACTTTCTGTCTCATTGATCTGTCTAATATTGACAGTGGGGTGTTAAAGTCTCCCATTATTTTTGTGTGGGAGTCTAAGTCTCTTTGTAGGTCACTCAGGACTTGCTTTATGAATCTGGGTGCTCCGGCATTGGGTGCATATATATTTAGGATAGTTAGTTCTTCTTGTTGAATTGATCCCTTTACCATTATGTAATGGTCTTCTTTGTCTCTTTTGATCTTTGTTGGTTTAAAGTCTGTTTTATCAGAGACTAGGATTGCAACCCCTGCCTTTTTTTGTTTTCCATTTGCTTGGTAGATCTTCCTCTCTTTCTTCTTTTTTTTGAGACGGAGTCTTGCTCTGTCGTCCAGGCTGGAGTGCAGTGGCAAGATCTTGGCTCACTGCAAGATCTGCCTCCCGGGTTCACGCCATTCTCCTGCCTCAGCCTCCCCAGTAGCTGGGACTACAGGCGCCGGCCACCACGCCCGGCTATTTTTTTGGATTTTTTAGTAGAGACGGGGTTTCACCATGTTAGCCAGGATGGTCTCGACCTCCTGACCTCGTGATCCGCCCGCCTCGGCGGACTCTTTCTTCTTCTGAGTTTCAGTTAAAATATCAAAGTCCAAGAAACATACAATAGGTGTAAGTATTTACATAACTTAAAGTGAGTTATATAGGATGAGATAAATGTCTGGAAAACTGATTCTGCCAATATAAGAAGTCCTCTACCTCCGTCCGTAAAAGAGTGGGGATTAATGAGTTAATGAGTATAAGGAGAGGATTCCGTTAGGGAGAATTGTTGGAGTGTGATGACATATCCTGCACTGACCTCCCGCTCCTAAATATGAGAGACGAGTGCATGTGTGGGATTCCTCCACTTTATGTAAGAAAGACTTCAAGAGAACTACTCAGAAATATGGACAGGTGCCTTCAGAATTTAAGAGAATATCAAGGTTAAGATGAAATGCTGTGCCTAGATTGGCCTGAGGCAGCAGAGAAGAGAAAAGAGAGGAATAAATCAGAAGTCAACTGTACTTTCACCATCAGTGGTGGGGCCAAAGTTGTTATTACCCATGGACCAGATATGGACTATGTGGGTGGAATCCTTTCTGGAGCTTTCTTCCAAATGACTATCAAGATGGGTAGAGTGACCCAGTAAAAAAAGAACAGAACTTCAGAAGCCCAGATGATGAGGGGGAGTCAAAAGCAGCCAGATGGAGTATGTCGCTCTGGTCAATGCTTGCAGATGGAAGTTCCCAGTGAAGGACTATCACATGGATGCATCAGCGTGACTCATAGGAGAAAGTGTGAGCTGCAAACATTTACGAAACCCAAGAGGACACCATGGATAGATCACAACCTTTCCAGGCACATATTTGTGCCTTTTTCATTTAATCTCTTTTCCCTCTGTCAATGATAGTAGCATAGAGAAAGTAGGAGTGAAAAGATGTTAACTTCTCTGAATGAAAAATAACCCCCAAACTTGTCTAAAAAACAATATTTTTGTGTAATGAGATTTGTAATTTCCTGTGATAAATAATCAGTATTCCCCATAAAGTGCTTAAACCATTTTCTCACATTTAATGGGATTAAGACTTGTTTTGGGAAATCATTTACCCTTCACCCACCTACTCCACTGACTATTATTCACCTAGTGGACCTTATTCATTCTTTTCAATTTCGGTTTAGTCTAATAGTCTAATAATTTTCAGGCCATGTTCTTTGCTTATAAAATGTTCCTTCCAAGAGAAAATTGCAGAATTAGTCTGCTAAAGGCCTTCTTTCTTATAGCAAGATTGTAATAAAATTTGGATACCCTTTTATACACTGTCAGAAGGTTTTTTTGTTTACTTATTTACTATTATTATTACTTTTTCATATACTTCCTTCTCATTCTTCAGGCTTCTAAGTCTGAAGCTGACCTGAGTTAGGTCTAGAGATGTGTTTATATTGAATTCATCTTGAAGTCATAATATTATGTTAGATTGGACTGGAAATTTTAATTATTGGAATGAGATTACCCTTGTGATTCAGATGTGCTATAAAGGCCAAATGACTTAATTAAAGGGATTAAGGAAACAACTAGATTTTAGAGAGGTATTGAAGGAGCAAAGGGAGAAAGAATAAAATAGCTTTTTGATTGTGCCATACTAAAGCAGCTCATTAACAGTTACAAATCTTACTATATAAATGTGACCCATACTTAAGCAATTTCTTATTCTATTAATTCATAAACATGGCTCCTTTTGTATTAATTCAGTGTATTATATTTCAGTGTGTGGTTCTAGGTCTGTTCACTGGTTTGCTGATGATAAATGTTTAATACAGGCATACATCAGAGATATTGTAGATTTAGTTCCAGACCACTGCAATAAAGTGAATGTCTCAATAAGGCAAGTCACACAAAGTTTTTGGTTTCCCAGTGCATATAAAAATTATGTTGACACTATACTGGGGTTTATTGTGTGTGCAGTAGCATTATACCTAAAAAATGTACATAACTTCAGAAATATTTTATTGCTAGAAAATGCTAATGATCATATGAGCCTTCGGCAAATTGTAGTCTTTTTGCTGGTGAAGGGTTTTGCCTCGATGTTGATGGGTGCCGACTGATCAGGGTTCTGGATACTGAAGTTTAAGGTGGCTGTGGCATTGTGTCTTTCTTAAAATAAGACAATAATGAAGCTTCCTGCAGTAATTGAATCTTCTTATTAACTGACTTTTCAATGAAAGATTTATCAGTAGCATGTGATGCTGTTTGATAGCATTTTACCCACAGTAGAACTTTCAAAGTTGGAGTCAATCCTCTCAAACTCTGTAACAGCTTGTTTAAGTTTATGTAATATTTTAAACGTTTTTGTCTTTTCAACAATGTTCATAGCAGCTTCATCAGCCGTAGAGTCCATCTCAAGGAACCACTTTCTCTGCTTATCTATTTATCCATAAGAATCAACTTTTCATCTATTTTAGTTTTATCATGAGATTGCAGAAATTCAGTCACATCTTTAGACGTAACCTCTCATTATAGTTCCCTTGCTATTTCCACCACATCTGCAGTTTCTTCCTCCGCTGAAGTCTTGAACTCCTCAATGTCATCCATGAGGGTTGGAGTCAACTTTTTCCAAACTCCTGTTAATGTTGATACTTTGAAATCCTCCCATAAATCTGAATGTTCTTTATGGAATCAAGAATGGTGAACGCTTTTTAGAAGATTTTCAATTGACTTTGCTCAGATCAGAAGAATCACTATCAATGGCAGCTATAGCCTGACAAAACATATTCCTTAAATAATAAGTCTTGAAAATTAAAATTACTGCTTGATCCATGAGCTGCAAATGTGTCAGCAGGTGACATAGTTTGGATCTGTGTCTCCACCAAATCTCATGTTGAATTATAATCCCCAGTGTTGAAGGTGGGGCCTCATGGGAGGTGATTGGATCATGGGGGTAGATCCTTTTTTTTTTTTTCAAGAATGCAGGTATTTTTATTTTATTTTTATAATTTTTTTGGATGACAATTCAAATTACAGTAGGAAACTTTGGGTAATAATGGAACATCACTCACATTGTGTGGCATGTATTTCTTCATGAAAACTAATTAAGGGATCCTGACCACTGAAATAATGTGGTATAAAGACAGACAAGGTACTTATTTTCTAAAAATGCTATCTCAAATTAGATAGATTGTTTAATGACTCAGGATGCTAAAAATGTGAGCCTGATAAGAACTCCATTTTCAAATGCAGAATATGAAGAATATTGCCTTATGCAGCAGCCTAGATGAGGTAATTGTACATCAAGTATTTCTGTTGAAACATTTATTTAGGCATAATGGGTTTATTCAAATACAAGTAAAAACACCTGACTTTTGGTCTCTGGCATAAATCACAAGTGACTTTTGGCCACTTCCATTTGGCCATAATATTCACCTGCATTTCTGCCTCTCCCTCTCTTTTTCCTATATTCTCTCTTTCCTCAGTTTAGCTGTAGCATTAAGGTTATTATTAATATAGTAAAATATTTAAGTAATTACAGATAAGTCATCTTTTTTTCAATGCATATCTATTCTTAGCGAGTAGCTATTTTCCACAAATGGAATAAAACTGTGATTATTTGCTTGAACTTTCCATAAGAAAGGGTGAGAAGAGGAGATTCAGAATTTTTTTTTAAACTAGGCTTTGTGTTTTTTTAATTTGATCTAAGTTTATTTCATTCTGATTCCCCAACATGTTACATTCTTCTTTTTTTTTTTTATTATACTTTAAGTTCTAGGGTACATGTGTACAACCTGAAGGTTTGTTACACATGTATACATGTGCCATGCTGGTGTGCTGCACTCATTAACTCGTCATTTACATTAGGTATATCTCCTAATGCTATCCCTCCCCCATCCCCCACCCCACAACAGGCCCCAGTGTGTGATGTTCCCCTTCCTGTGTCCAAGTGTTCTCATTGTTCAATTCCCACCTATGCGTGAGAACATGCAGTGTTTGGTTTTTTGTCCTTGCGATAGTTTGCTGATAATGATGGTTTCCAGCTTCATCCATGTCCCTACAAAGGACGTGAACTCATCTTTTTTTGTGGCTGCATAGTATTCCATGGTGTATATGTGCCATATTTTCTTAATCCAGTCTATCATTGATGGACATTTGGGTTGGTTCCAAGTCTTTTCTATTGTGAATAGTGCCACAATAAACATACGTGTGCATGTGTCTTTATAGCAGCATGAGTTATAATCCTTTGGGTATGTACCCAGTAATGGGATGACTGGGTCAAATCGTATTCCTAGTTCTAGATCCTTGAAGAATCGCCACACTGTCTTCCACAGTGGTTGAACTAGTTTACAGTCCCACCAACAGTGTAAAAATGTTCCTATTTCTTCACATCCTCTCCAGCACCTGTTGTTTCCTGACTTTTTAATGATCACCATTCTAACTGGTGTGAGATGGTATCTCATTGTGGTTTTGATTTGCATTTCTCTGATGACCAGTGATGATGAGCATTTTTTCTTGTGTCTTTTGGTTGCATAAGTGTCTTCTTTTGAGAAGTGTCTGTTCATATCCTTTGCCCACTTTACGATGGGGTTGTTTGATTTTTTCTTGTAAATTTGTGTAAGTTCCTTTTAAAAGATTTTGGATGTTAGCCTTTTCAGATGGGTAGGTTGCAAAAATTTTCTCCCGTTCTGTAGGTTGCATTTCTCTGATGGCCAGTGATGATGAGCATTTTTTCATGTGTCTGTTGGCTGCATAAATGTCTTCTTTTGAGAAGTATCTGCTCATATCCTTCACTTACTTTTTGATGGGGTTGTTTGTTTTTTTCTTGTAAGTTTGTTTGAGTTCTTTGTAGATTCTGGATATTAGCCCTTTGTCAGAAGAGTAGATTGCAAAAATTTTCTCCCATTCCGTAGGTTGCCTGTTCACTCTGATGGTAGTTTCTTTTGCTGTGCAGAAGCTCTTGAGTTTAATTAGATCCCATTTATCAATTTTGGCTTTTGTTGCCATTGTTTTTGGTGTTTTAGACATGAAGTCGTTGCCCATGCCTATGTCCTGAATGGTATTGCCTAGGTTTTCTTCTAGGGTTTTTATGGTTTTAGGTCTAACATTTTAGTCTTTAATCCATCTTGAATTAATTTTTGTATAAGGTGTAAGGAAGGGATCCAGTTTCAGCTTTCTACATATGTCTAGCCAGTTTTCCCAGCACCATTTATTAAATAGGGAATCCTTTCCCCATTTCTTGTTTTTGTCAGGTTTGTCAAAGATCAGATGGTTGTAGATGTGTGGTATTATTTCTGAGGGCTCTGTTCTGTTCTATTGGTCTATATCTCTGTTTTGGTACCAGTACCATGCTGTTTTGGTTACTGTAGCCTTGTAGTATAGTTTGAAATCAGGTAGTGTGATGCCTCCATCTCTGTTCTTTTGTCTTAGGATTGACTTGGCAATGAGGGCTTGTTTTTGGTTCCATATGAATTTTAGTTTCTTCCAATTCTGTGAAGAAAGTCATTGGTAGCTTGATGGGGATGGCATTGAATCTATAAATTACCTTGGGCAGGTTGGCCATTTTCATGATATTGATTCTTCCTATCCATGAGCATGGAATGTTCTTCCATTTGTTTGTATCCTCTTTTATTTCGTTGAGTAGTGGTTTGTAGTTCTCCTTGAAGAGGTCTTTCACATCCCTTGTAAGTTGGATTCCTAGGTATTTTATTCTCTTTGAAACAATTGTGAATGGGAGTTCACTCATGATTTGGCTGTTTGTCTGTTATTGGTGTATAAGAATGCTTGTGATTTTTGCACATTGATTTTGTATCCTGAGACTTTGCTGAAGTTGCTTATCAGCTTAAGGAGATTTTGGGCTGAGACGATGGGGTTTTCTAAATATACAATCATGTCATCTGCAAACAGGGACAATTTGACTTCCTCTTTTCCTAATTGAATACCCTTTATTTCCTTCTCCTGCCTGATTGCCCTGGCCAGAACTTCCAACACTATGTTGAATAGGAGTGGTGAGAGAGGGCATCCCTGTCTTGTGCCAATTTTCAAAGGGAATGCTTCCAGGTTTTGCCCATTCAGTATGATATTGGCTATGGGTTTGTCATAAATAGCTCTTATTATTTTGAGATACGTCCCATCAATACCTAACTTATCGAGAGTTTTTAGCATGAAGGGTTGTTGAATTTTGTCAAAGGCCTTTTCTGCATCTATTGAGATAACCATGTGGTTTTTGTCTGGGGTTCTGTTTATATGCTGGATTACGTTCATTGCTTTGCGTATGTTGAACCAGCCTTGCATCCCAGGGATGAAGCCCACTTGATCATGGAGGATAAGCTTTTTGATGTGCTGCCAGTGTTTTACTATTTTTGCATTGATGTTCATCAGGGATAATCCGTAATGAATAGTTTAGCACCATCACCTTGTTGCTGTCCTCATGAGAGTGAGTGAGTTCTCATGATATCTGGTGTTTAAAAGTGTGCATCAACTCTCTGCCCTCTCTCTTCCTCCTGCTTCAGCCATATGAAGTGATACCTCCCCCTTTGTCTTCCATCATGACTGTAAGTTTCTTGAGGCCCCCCCCAGAAGCCAAGCAGATGCTGCCATGCTTCCTGTACACCTGCAGAACTATAAACCAATTACAACTCTTTTCTTTATAAATTACCCAGTCTCAGACATTTCAGTATAGCAGTGTGAGAAAGGACTAATATAGAAGGCATAAAAAGGATATTCATTTCTTTATACATCTCCATCAGAGCTTTTGGGTGTTCAGGTATATTATCAATGAACAATAATATTTTGAATGAAATCTTTTTTTCTTAGCAGTAGGTCTCAGCAGTGGACTTAAAATATTCAGTAAATCTTGCTGTAAACAGGTATACTGTCATCCAGGCTTTGGTGCAGTTGTAGAGAAGCAGAGAAGATTTAGCATCATTCTTAAGGGGCCTGGAATTTTCTAAATTGTAAATAGCATTGGCTTCCATTTAAAGTCACCAGCTGCATTAACCTGTAACAAGAGTCAGTCCACCCTTTGCTTTGAAGCCAGGCGTTGACTTCTCCTTTCTAACAATGAAAGTCCTAGATGGCATCTTTTTTCATATAAGGCTGTTTCACTCATATTGAATGTCTGTTTTTTAGTGTAGCCACATTCACCAATGATCTTAGCTTAAATCATCTGGATAACTTGTTGCAGCTTCTCCATCAGCACTTAACTGCTTCGTCTTGTCCTTTTATGTTTTAAAGACAGCCATTTTTCTTAAATCTCGTGAACTAGCCTCTGCTAGCCTCCATCTTTTCTTCTGAAGCTTTCTCAGCCTTCAAAGAATTGAAGAGTGGTAGGGCTTTGCTCTGGGTGAGGCTTTGGCTTAAGTTTAAGGGAATATTATGGCTGGTTTGATCTATCCAGACCACTAAAACTCTATCCATTTCAGCAATAAGGCTGTTTCCCTTTCTTATTGTTCCTGTGTTCACTGGAGTAGCACTTTAATTTTTTCGAGAACTTTTGCTTTTGCATTCACAACTTGGCTGTTTGGCACAGGAGGCCTTGCTTTCAGCTGATCTCTGTTTTTGACATGCCTTCCTCACTAAGCTTAATCATTTCTAACGTTTTATGTAAAGTGAGAAACGTGTGACTCTTTCTTTCCCTTGAACAACTAGAAGCCATTATAGGGTTATCAATTTGCCTAATTTCAATATTATTGTGTCTCAGCGAACAGAAGGGCCTGAGGAGAAGACAGAGATAAGAGATAGGAGAAAGGATGGTGGTGGAGAAGTAAGAACACACATGTATTTAGTTTGCCATCTTTTTTTATTTTTTATTTTTTAATTATTTATTTATTTATTTTTTGAGAGGGAGTCTCGTTCTGTGGCCCAGGCTGGAGTGCAGTGGTGTGATCTCAGCTCACTGCAAGCTCCGTCTCCCGGGTTCATGCCATTCTTCTGCCTCAGCCTCCAGAGTAGCTGGGACTACAGGCGCCTGCCACCACGCCCAGCTAATTTTTTGTATTTTTAGTAGAGATGGGGTTTCACCATGTTAGCCAGGATGGTCTCGATCTCCTGACCTCGTGATCCACCCTCCTAGGCCTCCCAGAGTGCTGGGATTACAGGCGTGAGCCACCGCGCCCAGCCTAGTTTGCCATCTCATATGGTCATGAATTATGGCACCCCAAAACATTTACAATAGTAAAATCAAAGATCACTGATTGCAGATCACCATAATATATATAATAAAAATAAAAATGTTTAAAATATTGTGAGAATTACCAAAATGTGACACAGAGTCATGAAGTAAACACGTGCTGTTGAAAAGCGGGCCGTTGAAAAGCATGTGCTGACTTCAGACGGTGGGGCCAAGATGGCTGACTAGAAGCAGCGCGGTTGGGAGGCTCTCTTCAGAAAAAAGGATAATAAACGTGTGAATCCTTCACCAGCAACCAAGGTATCCAGATTCTCTCACCAAAACTGACTAGAACGCTGGCGTGACCCATGCAGAAAAGGAAGAGCAGTGTGGTGCTGCGGCCCACTTGAGAACCACACAGGGAAGGGGAACCCCATCCCCCCAGCCAAGGGAGGCAGTGACTGAGCATGCTATCCAGCCGGGGAAACTGTGCTTTTTCCATGAAACTGTGCAACCCATGGATCAGAGTATCCCTCTTACGAATCCATGCGACTGGGGCTTAGCGTCCCAACCCCAGAACACACAGATTTTTAGAGCCTCTCAGCTGGAGTCTGCTTAAGCTTACTGAACTCCCACGGGGAGGGGCAACCAGCACAGGCTGTGGCTGCCTCCTGTCTAAGCCATTTGAGCTCCTTGGGGGAGGGGCAGCAACCAGCACTGAGACTCACAACTGCCTAACATGCTAATCTTCCTGGGCAGGAGAAGGGTGGCACCCATTTCCAGAGCTCCAGTCTGTGCTTTTCCCCTGCTGGAGCCAGGGAAGCTGGGTGGCTTGGCCCCAAGAATTGTCCCCACAGCCCAACACACTGGCTGTGGCAGTGTGCAGCCAGAGTGCCTCTTCAGGTCTAAACTTGACCCATCCTTTCTCAGTGGACAGGGCTTCCCTGCAGGATCTCCAATAACGCCAGCCAGAGGCTCAGGAACAGAATTTGGAACTCCCTGGGCCTGAGCCCCTAGGGGGAGGCATGGCCACAGTCTCTGCTGACCAGCAGACTTAGTCTCTCCTCCTGGCAGTTCTGAGGAATCTGGGCAGCCCAGACGAGTGAGTTTCCCCCAAGAAAAGCACAACCTCTCCACCAAGGGACAAAGTGCTTTGTTAAATGCATCCTGTTCCCTGTGACACCCAACTGGGTGAGACCCTTCAACAGGGGTTGTCAGACACCCTATATAGGAATAATCCTGCTGGCATCAGGTTGGTGCCCCTTGAGGTCAGAGGTTCCAGCAGAAGGAGCAGGCACCCATCTTTGCTGCTCTCCAACTTCCTTGAGTCACATCTCCAGGCACGGGAGCAAATCAGATGAATAAGGTCTGAAGTGAACCCCCAGCAAACTGCAGCAGCCCTACAGAAAAGAGACCCGACTATTGAAAGAAAAACAAACAAGCAGAAAGCAACAACGACAACAACAAAAAGGTCCCCACAAAAACCCCATCCAAGAGTCAGCAGCCTCAAAGACTGAAACCAGACAAACTTATAAAGCTGAGAAAGAATCAACAAAAAAATGCTGAAAACCCAAAAGGCCAGAGTGCCTCTTCTCCTCCAAATGATTACAGTGTGTCTCCATCGAGGGGACAAAACTGGATGGAGGATCAGATGGACGAATTGACAGAAGTAGGCTTTAGAAAATGGGTAATAAAAAACTATGATGAGCTAAAGGAGTGTGTTCTAACCTAATGCAAAGGAGCTAAGAACTTAGATAAAAGGTTAGATGAATTGCTAACTATAATAACCAGTTTAGAGAGGAACATAAAGGACCTGATGGAGCTGAAAAATGCAGCAGGAGAACTTTGTGAAGCATACCTAAATATTAACATATGCATACATAATATACATACATAATATCAACATATTATGTATCTACATACTTAAATATCAACAGCCAAACTGACCAAGTGGAAGAAAGGATATCAGAGTTTGAAGTCCATCTTACTGAAATAAGACATGCAGAGAAGAATAGAGAAAAAAGAATGAAAAGGAATGAACAAAGCCTCCAAGAAATATGGGACCTCATAAAAAGACCGAGCCTACGATTGATTGGAGTATCAGAAGGAGATGGGGAGAATGGGAACAAGCTGGAAAACACACTTCAGCAAGAGAGGTCAACATGCAAATTCAGGAAATACAGAGAACACCGTTGAGATACTCCATGTGAAGATCAACCCCAAGACACATAATCATCTGATTCTCCAAGGTTGAAATGAAGGAAAAATGTTAAGGGCAGCCAGAGAGAAAGGTCAGATTACCTACAGAGGGAAGCCCATCAGACTAACAGCAGATCTCTCTGCAGAAACCCTACAAGCCAGAAGAGAGTGGGGGCCAATATTCAACATTCTTAAAGAAAATAATTTTCAACCCAGAATTTCATATCCAGCCAAACTAAGCTTCATAAGCAAAGGGGAAATCTAGAGAAGCAAATGCTGAGGGATTTCATTACCACCAGGCCTGCCCTGCAAGAGCTCCTGAAAGAAACACTAAATACAGAACAGAAAAACTGGTACAAGCCACTGCAAAAACACACCAAAATATAAAGACCAATGACACTGTGAAGAAACTGCATCAACTAGTGCACAAAATAACAAAATAGCATCATGATGACAGGATCAAATTCACACATAACAATACTAACCTTAAATATAAATGGGCTAAATGCCCCAAGTGAAAGACACAGACTGACAAATTGGATAAAGAGTCAAGACCCATCAGTGTGCTATATTCAGGAGACCCATCTTACATGCAGAGACACACACAGGCTCAAAATAAAGGGATAGAGGAGAATTTACCAAGCAAATGGAAAGAAAAAAAAAAGCAGGGTTTCAATCCTAGTCTTTGAAAAAATAGACTTTAAGCCAACAAAGATCAAAAAAGACGAAGAGGGGCATTACATAATGGTAAAGGGAACAATTCAACAAGAAGAGCTAACTATTCTGATTATATATGCAACCAATAAGGAGCACCCAGATTCATAAAACAAGTTTTTAGAGACCTACAAAGAGACTTAGACTCCCACACAATAAGAGTGGGAGACTTTAACACCACACTGCCAGTATTAGACAGGTCAATGAGACAGAAAATTAACAAGGATATTCAGGACCTGAACTCAGATCTGGATCAAGTGGATCTAGTAGATGTCTACAGAACTCTCTCCCTCATCAACAGAATGTACATTCTTCTCAGTGCCACATGACACTTATTCTAAAACTGACCACATAATTGGAAGTAAAACTCTCCTTAGCAAATGCAATACCTGAAATCATAACAGCCGCTCAGATCACAGTGCAATGAAATTACAACTCAGGATTAAGAAATTCATTCAAAACCACACAATTTCATGAAATTTGAACAGCCTGCTCTTGAGTGACTCCTAGGTACATAATGAAGTTAAGGCAGAAATCAAGAAGTCCTTTGAAACCAATGAGAACAAAGAGACAACATACCTGAATCTCTGGGACAGTGTTAAAGTAGTGTTAAGGGGAAAATTTATAGGACTAAATGCCCACATCAGAAAGATGTCAGATCAAAACCCTAACGTCACAATTAAAAGAGCTAGAGAGGCAACAGCAAAGTAACCAAAGCTAGCAGAAGACAAGAAATAACTGAGATCAGAGAAGAATTGAAGGATAGAAATACTACAAACCCTCCAAAAAAATCAACAAATCCAGGAGCTGGTTTTTCAAAAAATTAACACAATACACCACTTGCTAGACTAATAAAGAAGAGAGAGATTAATTAAATAGACACAGTAAAAAATGATAAAGAGGATATCACAACTGACCCTACAAAAATACAAACTACCATCAGAGAATACTATAAACATCTATATGCAAATAAACTAGAAAATCTAGAAGAAATGGATAAATTCCTGGATGCCAACATCCTACCAAGACTAAACCAGGAAGAAGTTGAATCCCTGAATAGACCAATAACAAGCTCTGAAATTGAGGCAGTAATTAATAGCCTACTAACCAAAAAAAGCCCAGAACCAGACAGCTTCACAGCTGAATTCTACCATAAATACAAAGAGAAGTTCTTACCATTCCTTCTGAAAATATTCCAAACAACTGAAAAGGAGGGACTCTTCTTGAACTCATTTTATGAAGCCAGCATCACCCTGATACCAAAACCTGGCAGAGACACAACAAAAAAAGAAAACTTCAGGCCAATATCCCTGATGAACATTGATACGAAAATCCTCAGTAAAATACTGGCAAACCAAATCCAGCAGCACATCAAAATACTCACCCACCGCAATCAAGTCGGCTTCATCCCTGGGATGCAAGGCTGGTTCAACATATATGCAAATCAGATGAACAGAACCAAAGACAAAAACCACATAATTATCTCAATAGATGCAGCAAAGGCCTTTGATAAAATTCAACATCACTTCATGTTAAAAACTCTCAATAAACTAGGTATCGATGGAACATATCTCAATATAATAAGAGCTATTTATGACAAACCCACAGCTAATATCATATTGAATGGGCAAAATCTGGAAGCATTTCCTTTACAAACCAGTAAAAGAAAAAGATGCCCTCTCTCACCACTCCTATTCAACATAGTATTGGAAGTTCTGGTCAGGGCAATCAAACAAGAGAAAGAAATAAAGTGTATTCGAATAGGAAGAGAGAAAGTCAAGTGGTCTCTATTTGCAGCTGACATGATTTTATATTTAGAAAATCCCATCATCTAAGCCCAAAAACTTCTTGAACTGATAAGCAACTTCAACAAAGTCTCAGGATACAAAATCAATGTGCAAAAATATCACAAGCATTCCTTTACACCAACAATAGGCAAACAGAGAGTGAAATCATGAATGAATTCCCCTTCACAATTGCTACAAAGAAAATAAAATACCTAGAAATACAGCTAACAAAGGATGTGAAGGACCTCTTCAAGGAGAACTACAAACCACTGCTCAAGGAAATCAGAAAGGACACAAACAAATGGAAAAATATTCCATCCTCGTGGATAGAAAGAATCATGACAATGGCCATACTACCCAAAGTAATTTATAGATTCAATGCTATTCTCATCAAACTACCACTGACTTTCTTCACAGAATTAGAACAAACTGTTTTAAATTTCATGTGGAATCAAAGAAGACTTCTTATAGTCAAGACAATCCTAAGAAAAAAGAACAATGCTGGAGGCATCACGTTACCTGTCTTCAAACTGTACTACAAGGCTACAGTAACCAAAACAGCATGATACTGTTACCAAAACAGACATATAGACCAATGGAGCAGAACAGAGACCTGAGAAATAATACCACACATCTACAACCATCTGATCATCAACACACCCGACAAAAACAAGCAATGGGGCAAGAATCTCATTCAGTAAACAGTGCTGGGAAAACTGGCTAGCCATATGCAGAAAACAGAAACTGTACCCCTTCCTTACACCTTATACAAAAATAAACTCAAGATAAATTAAAGACATAAATGTAAAATCCCAAACCATAAAAACCCTAGAAGAAAACCTAGGCAATACCATTCAGGACATAGGCATGGCAAAGACTTCATAATGAAAATGCCAAAAGCAATTGCAACAAAAGCCAAAATTGACAAATGAGATCTAATTAAACTAAAGAGCTTCTGCACGGCAAAAGAAACTATCATCAGAGGGAACAGGCAACCTACAGAATGGGAGAAAATTTTTGCATCTACCCATCTGACAAGGGTCTAATATCCAGAATTTACAGGAAACTTTTTAGGAGAAAAAGACAACCCAATTAAAAAGTGGGCAAAGTATATGAACAGACGCTTCGCAAAAGAAGACATTTACATGGCCAACAAGCATATGAAAAAAAGCTCAACATCACTAATCATCAGAGAAATGCAAATCAAAACCACAGTGAGATACCATCTCATGCCAGTCAGAATGGCAAATATTAAAAAGTCAGGAAACAATAGATGCTGTCAAGGCTGTGGAGAAATAGGAACACTTTTACACAGTTGGTGGGAATGTAAATTAGTTCAACCCTTATAGAAGACAATATGGCGATTCCTCAAGGGTCTAGAACCAGAAATACCATTTGACTCAGCAGTCCCATTACTGGGTATATGCCCAAAGGAATATTAATCATTCTACTATAAAGACACATGCACACGTATGTTTATTGCAGCACTATTCACAATAGCAAAGTCATGGAACCAACCCAAATGCGCATCAATGATAGACGGATAAAGAAAATTTGGTACATATACACCATGGAATACTATACAGCCATAAAAAGGAATGAGATCATGTCCTTTGCAGGGACATGCAAGAAGTTGGAAGGCATCATCCTCAGCAAACTAACACAGGAATAGAAAACCAAACACTGCATGTTCTCACTCATAAGTGGGAGTTGAACATTGAGAACACATGGACACAGAGAGGGGAACAACACACACCAGGGCCTGTTGGGATGTGGGGGTGAGGGGAGGGAACTTAGATGATGGGTTAATAGGTGCAGCAAACCACCATGGCACATGTATACCTATGTAACAAACCTGCACGTTTTGCACATGTATCCTATTTCTTTTATTTTAGAAGAAAAAAAGAAAAAAAGGTGAAAAATAAAAGAATAAAAAAAGAAAAATGATGTCAATAGACTTGCCTGACACAAGTTGCTGCAAATTTTCATTTTGTACAAATTGTGATATCTAAGAAGTAAAATAAAGTGAAGTACAATAAAATGAGTTATCCTATACTAAATGCAGGAATTCCTTTTATTAACTATACAAATGGTCCCAACATATTGTATTGCATTGGTCTCTATTAGCCAAGTAAAAAGGAAGTTATGAGAAGCTATTGGATATTCTTTCAGCTTTTAAATACTTCACTGTTTCTTCTAATTAATAAGTCAATTGATATAATTTTTGAAATCATTACTATTGTAAGTATATCACATCAAATTCAATTTATAGATTTTTTTGTTTGTGAAAGTTAAACAGGAGCAATGTTGTCATAATTTACATCAGCGTTTAACTACCTGAACATCAGTCTTGCATGTAGTCTGTGCATAATAAATAGTTAAATTGAATTAAATAACATAGTCTCATAAGCAAAGGAAAACAAAACCGTGTTTGCAAATTTTTGCTGTTAGAAAACCATGATCATTGCTTCTATTCTCATTACTCCAGCAATATTTCGCAAGTTTGTCAATTTTGTCAAATATTTAGTCTGATTTTATTTCTTTGTTATTAGGTATATATGTGTTTGTATCTTTATATCAATTTTGGGGATTTCTGTTTTATTGTTACTAAAAATCCTTTTTATAAGTTAGTAGTTTTTACTTGAATTCTGTTTTACATTGTATTGACAATGCCACAGTTCTGTTTTCCTGTTGCTGTCATTTATTTTTTATCAATCTCTTTTTTATACTTTAAAAAAATAATTTTGCTTTAGACATATTTCTTTTTGACAGCCTTTTTTATTTTTACAAAAGCCTCTTGTTTTTTCCACTAATGACTTCTATTAAAAATATACAGTGTATTATGTAGTACTTCCTCTATTTGTCTTCCAGTTCTCTGATTTGAACTTTGATTCTAACTCAGTCTGAGGGTCATTGAATTATGATAGCAGTATTCAGCCTATTCATGGTTTTTTGTTCCAGAGCTCCTGGTTTATAGCTACCCTTAATTATGTTCTTTGTATACCTAGTTTATACTTACTTTTAAGTCTACATTATTTGTGTTACTGTTTTGTCTTTCTATTACTTGATGATTTATACAATAAGTCTCTTTCTTCCAGGCTTAATATTTCATTCATTTTTAAAATTTGTTTTCCCCTTTGAGTTGTGACATACATATTCTGCTTGAATTTTATGCACACTAATTTAATGTTTAGGAGTGATTATTCTCTTTTTTTTTTTTTTTTTTTTTTGAGACGGAGTCTCACTCTGTCACCCAGACTGGAGTGCAGTGGCGCGATCTCGACTCGCTGCGAGCTCTGCCTCCCGGGTTCACACCATTCTCCTGCCTCAGCCTCCTGAGTAGCTGGGACTACAAGCACCCGCCACCATGCCTGGCTAATTTTTTTTTTTGTATTTTTAGTAGAAACGAGATTTCACCGTGTTAGCCAGGATGGTCTCGATCTCCTTGACCTCGTGATCTGCCCGCCTCGGCCTCCCAAAGTGCTGGGATTACAGACATGAGCCACCGCGCCCAGCCGATTATTCTCTTTTTTAATTGTGTGATTGAATCTTAAATACATAAACTATATTTTTTATTTTGAAAAATCTTTATGTTTACTAATGGTAACTAGCCATTCTTATGATATTTATATTACAATTACCTTGTGTATTTTTCAGAAGTTCAGTATCATCGGAACACCAGTTCTGTTTGTTCAGTTTATTATACCTCCTCCCAGTGTGTCCCCTTAAATGCCTTGTGGATTTTATGTACCTGCTTATGTCAACCAGGATTTAGTGTGATCCCTCTATCCATGTGAGTCGGTGAGTCAGAACTCTAGGCTATGTAAGTTCAGTCCCTTTGGCAGTGAGCAAAAGAAAGCAGTGAAAGATGGAGTTGAATTGTTGTTGTTGTTGGTGGTGGTGGTTGGGTGTGTGTGTGTGTGTGTGTGTGTGTGTGTGTGTGTGTGTGTGTGTGAATGATCAGTTGGAAATCTGGGACATTTCTTTTGAATTATTTTGAGAACTCTGTTTGCAAGTAAAAGTGAGCTCTTAGGCGCAACTGTCATTTCCTGACCGTGCCGTCAATGTGAGGGAGAAGCCAATTTCTCCTCACTCTGGACACAGCAAATGGATGGAGACAGTGAGGAATTCACTCAGGCCAGCCAGCTGGCTCCCTAGGTCACATTTGTCCCGTGTTTCCTCAACAGGCAAGTCTCTTCAAAAGCCTCGTATTCCTGGTTTCCTCCTTCTTCTGCCTTGGCCCTTGCACTTTATTTCCAAAGATGTATTTCAGAGCTATCTATGTTAGCTCGGGTGAAGTGGGGCTATTGTAACAAAAGGCCTAAAAGCATAATGACTTAAAAGCTAGTTTATCTCTGAATGAACTGTCTGAGATGAGGGACCCAGAGCAACAGTCAGCTCTGCTCTACACAGATGCTTGTTTCTGTCATGTGATGGTCATCAGTACCATGAAAGCTTAGTTGTCATGGATTATACCTGTGGGAAGGGGAAGACCATGGGGCATGTACATGCTTTGCAGGCAGGCCTAAAAGAGACACACATCACCCCTACTAACATTTCATTAATAGAAACTTAGGCAAATGGCAACACTTGGCGTAAGGGATGCAAGGAAATATATTCCCTGGTTGGCAACCCTGTCGTAGATACAACTATTTCTATGGCAGAAGAGGAAAATGGATTTTGGTGGACAGTTAGAAACTTCAACCACAGTATTCATGCTTTTTAGAATACATATCAATGAGCCCAATAATTACCTTGTTCTTTTAGCTGGTTTCATCATTCTCTCCAGAAGGGGGTTGGGAGTAAAATTTGGTTGCACCTTATATATCTAGAACATTGGAGAGTTTCACACTATTGCCTATATGAACCTGCTGCTGAGACAGCACATTATTAGCACCTATTAGCACCCTATGGTGGTTATGTAATTTACTGGATAAGCAGGGCACCTTTAGCAAAAGAACTGGGGTGTTATTAATAATTATAGACTGCCCATGACTTACAATGGTTTCAACTTTAGGATGGTACCTATACAAGCATTCTGTTTTTCACTTTCAATACAGTATTCAATAAATTATATGAGGTATTTAACACTTTATTATGAAATAGGCTTTGTGTTAGATGCTGTTGCTCAACTATAGGCTAACGTAAGTATTCTGAGCATGTTTAAGGTAGGATAGGCTAAGTTATGATGCTCGTTAGGTTAGGCGTATTAGATGCATTTTCTACTTAAAATATTTTTAATCTATGATGAGTTTCTTGGGAAGTAACTTCATTGTAAGTTGAGGAGCATTTATACACCAAAACACTAGAAAAACTGCAATGTCTAGTTACCTTATCTTGAATTCTTGACTCTGAAGACTGAAAAATTCTTTTCTTATTGTACTATTCTTTTGCTGTATATTTTGGTTAGTAATGGGAAAATCATTACTAACCAAACCAAAGCCATTTTGCAGATTTCCATTTTTCTCCTACTGACTGCATAGCCTCTAGGATGAAACAAGAGAATCCTGACTTACAGGCTTATGAACAATTGCAACAACTAACTCATATTATAGCTTTCAATTTCTTTTCACATATGTTGTCTCTTTTGACTTAAAAGAATGCTGTGTGGTAAATGGTATTATTATCTCTGTTGGATTAATATGAAAAGAGGCTCAGGAGGACTAAGATTATTAGATGGTACAACCAGAACTAGAACTTACATCTCCTAATACCATTGGATGTACTCTCTCACTATACTTGGCAGTTTTCTCTCATTCTGACAATAGCTTTTCCATTGAATGATTTATTGGTAAAACAGAATGGAGTCAGCTCCCTGTATTAGCTGAAAAACAAATGCTGAATGCTGGAAATATTGTCTTTGGAGCTAAGAACTGGAGACAAAATGAGATGTTCATCATTCTCTTTTATCTCAGTTTCCATTATGGATAAGTTAATTTCTAAGAAGAAACATTTTGTTTTTCATCATTGCCCTTTCTTCTTTAATAATAGTAACTGGGCATGTTTTTAAACAGATACTTTTTTTTTTTTTTTTTTTTGAGATGGAGTCTCGTGCTGTCACCCAGGCTGGAGTGCATTGGCATGATTGGCATGATCTCAGCTCACTGCAAGCTCCACCTCCCGGGTTCACACCATTCTCCTGCCTCAGCCTCCCGAGTAGCTGGAACTACAGGCGCCTGCCACCATGCCCAGCTAATTTTTTGTATTTTTAGTAGAGATGGGGTTTCACCATGTTAGCCAGGATGGTCTCAATCTCCTGACTTCGTGATCCACCTGCCTCGGGCTCCCAAAGTACTGGGATTACAGGCATGAGCCACCATGCCCAGCCTGAACAGATACTCTTTTTATTCCTCAGTTTTCTCACAGTAATTTTAAAAAAATAATAAAAGTCTTGGGAGAATACTTTTAGGCTGTCATGTTATAATATAGTGTTTTCCTGAATATTTTGTTAATAGTTTTAAACAAACTCGAGCATATCACAATACAACTATTCTAATTACGTGGCTACTGTTTGTCTTGTTTATTCATAACTTTTAATACTATGTATTTTTCGCTATTTATAAAATTATAAAATATAACATCTGTAAAAGATCTTAGAGATAAAATAATTTATCACCCAAATCCCCATTTTATAGTTGAAGATAGTATTCAGATTTCTAATTCCTTCCAAACAGAAAAAAAGAAAAACAAAAATAAACAGGATAAAACAACAAAGCACATAAAAAGCAAACAAAAAAACCAATATTAAATGAAAAATAAGCTGTAAGTATAATAAAATAGTAAATATTCAGTATGCTTTATTTAAGTGAAAAATAAATTGTGGTATATGTATTCAGTGGAATACTTTTCAGCCTTTGAAGAAGATACTGCCATTTATAACAGCATGAACTAACCTGGAAATCCAACTCTTTAATTTCGGTTTTATTTGTTGGTATTTGGGTTATCCCAGATATAGGATAGTTTCAAGAATTATAAGTTTTGAAGTGTTTGATTATATATCTTTTGCAATACCATGAATGGCTCTAATTTTTTTCATTACATTTTCTAAAAATAATTCTTACAAATCCTTATAATCCATGTTACCACAAAAATAATGTGTTGGAAAACTGAAACTTATTTCTAATAGACACTATTAGTTTCTTGCCCACATCTCTTAGGCATTCACCATTTCTAGGCTTATTAATGGCTTCCTATTGCAAATAACTGCCACTCTTATTCAGAGGACTTACTCGATTTGCAAGAGTATTCTTGGTCCCCTGAGCAAAGCAAACCAGAAATGCTAAACAGTAAGTGTCCCTGGGAACAGCCCTCAAACTGTCATGGGTAAGAGTGGAAAAAAAAATCTCAGCTTCTTTACTACTGAAAGTCCAGAAATAGTGGTGCTGGCAGAAGTGCTGCAGGCAGAGAAGGCAATCTATGCCAACAAAATGTATGTAATCCTATGAGGATGAAACACTGTATCCTACATGATGGGAAGTTTTAATGTAATAAATCTACGGCAAGGCATTTGGCTGTTCCTGCCAGACATAGTGATATTTCAGGGTCTCAGCATTGGCCTGGCCTGTAAGTTGGCAGGTTGGGCAGTCAGCACTGATGGTAGCTAGGTCAGATCACAGAGCTGATCTCACGCACGGCCACCATCCCTAATGCCTTTGTCAGTTCGTACATCGGCCCATTGAATAAGGAAGAACATGAGGTGGCCAGTGAAGAAGACTTGACATTTTTAGGATGGGTCTTCTTGTGTTCCCGTCAGAATTGATTGGGTCTTCCTTCAATTTTGTTAAAACAAAGAACTGGAAATCACTGGTTTTACAAAATAATTTGCAACCCAGCCATTAGAGTCATTCATTTTCTCGATTTCATTGAACTATACCAAAAAAGCTTTACAGAAAAAGGCTCCAATTTTACCTGTTACTCTTTCACTTAGAATCTTATATTTAAAAATAGAATCTTATATTTAAAAACAGACTAAACTGGGATAAAATCAACCCTGTAAACTTAGAACTTAATTATGAACAAAGACTTATATAATCATGACAAATTTCAAAGTTTTCAAATTGCCATTAAAGGCATATACTCATCTCTTGGTGTCCATGGGGGTTGGTTCTAGGATGCCTGGGGATACCAAAATCCACAGTTATCCTCAAGTCCGTTATATAAAATGGTGTAGTATTTGCAAAGAACCTATGCACATCCTCCTGTATACTTTAATCTCAAGATTACTTATAATACCTCATACAATGTAAATACTATGTAAAACATTGTTCTACTGTATTTTTGTTTATATTTTTTATTGTTGTATTGTTATTTTCATTCCTTTTTTTCAACTTTTATTTTAAAATCAGGGCGTACGTATGTATATTTGTAACAAAGGTAAATTGTGTGATACTGAAGTTTGGGGTATGAGTGAACCCATCACTCACATAGTAGACATAGTACACTGTAGGTAGTTTTTCTCTTCCCCATCTATTGTTGCTATCTTTATTTGCATGTGTATCCCATGTTTAGCTCCCACTTATAAGTGAGAACATGTGGTATTTGGTTTTCTGTTTCTGTATCAGTTTGCTTAGGATAATGGCTTCCAGTTCCACCCATGTTGCTGCAAAAGGCATGATTTCATCCTTTTTATGGCTGTGTAGTATTCCATGACATATAGGTACCACATTTTCCTTATCTAGTCCACTGTCGATGGGCACCAGGGTTGAGTCCATATTTTTGCTATTGAGAATAGGGCTGTGATTAACACATGGGTGCATGTGTCTTTTTGGTAGAATGAATTATTTTCTTCTGGGAATATATCCAGTAATGGGATTGCTGGGTTGAATGGTGGTTCAATTCTTAGTTCTTTGAGGAGTTTCCAAACTGCTCTCCACAGCCGCTGGAATAATTTACATACCCATCAACAGTGTATAAATGTCTCCTTTTCTCCTCAGCTTTGCCAATATCTGTAATGTTTTGACTCTTTTGCAAAAACCATTCTGACTGGTGTGAGTTGGTATCTCATTATGGTTTTGATTTGCATTTCTCTGATGATTAGTGATGTGGAGGCTTTTTTCATATGTTTCTTGGCCACTTGTGTGTCTTCTTTTGAGAAGTGTCTGTTCATGTCCTTTGCCCACTTTTAGTGGGGATATTTGGTTTTTGCTTTTTGATTTGTTTAAATTCCTTATAGATTCTGGGTATTAGACCTTTGTTGGATGCAGTTTGCAAATATTTTCTACCATTCTGTAGGTTATCTGTTTACTCTGTTGATAGCACTCTTGCTGTGCAGAAGCTCTTTAGCTTAATTAGGTGTTACTAATCAATTTTTGTTTTTGTTGCAATTGCTTTTGAGGACTTAGTTATAAATTCTTTGCCAAGGTCAATATTGAGAAGTGCATTTCTTAGGTTTAATTCTAGGCTTTTTATAGTTTTACATTTTACATTTAGGTCTTTAATCCATCTTGAGTTATTTTTTGTATATGGTTGGAGCCCAGTTTCATTCCTCTGCATATGGCTAGCCAGTTATCCCAGCACCATTTATTGAACAGAAATTCTTTTTTCCCATTGCTCATTTTTATCAAGTGTGTTGACGATTAGATGGTTGGAGGTGTACAACTTTATTTCTGGCTGTTTTGTGCCAAAATAGTATCATGCTGTTTTGGTTGCTATAGCCTTATAATATAGTTTGAAGTCAAGTGTGATGCCTCTAGCTTTGTTCTTTGTTTTTTTTTTAAGTTCTTCCAATTCTTTTATTTATTTATTTATTTATTTATTTATTTATTTATTTATTTATTATTATTATACTTTAAGTTTTAGGGTACATGTGCACAATGTGCAGGTTAGTTAAATATGTATACATGTGCCATGCTGGTGTGCTGCACCCATCAACTCGTCATCTAGCATTAGGTATATCTCCCAATGCTATCCCTCCCCCCTCACCCCACCCCACAACAGTCCCCAGAGTGTAATGTTCCCCTTCCTGTGTCCATGTGTTCTCATTGTTCAGTTCCCACCTATGAGTGAGAACATCTGGTGTTTGGTTTTTTGTCCTTGTGATAGTTTACTGAGTATGATGATTTCCAATTTCATCCATGTCCCTACGAAGGACATGAACTGATCATTTTTTATGGCTGCATAGTATTCCATGGTGCATATGTGCCACATTTTCTTAATCCAGTCTATCATTGTTGGACATTTGGGTTGGTTCCAAGTCTTTGCTATTGTGAATAATGCCGCAATAAACATACGTGTGCATGTGTCTTTATAGCAGCATGATTTGTAGTCCTTTGGGTATATACCCAGTAATGGGATGGCTGGGTCAAATGGTATTTCTAGTTCTAGATCCCTGAGGAATCGTCACACTGACTTCCATAATGGTTGAACTAGTTTACAGTCCCACCAACAGTGTAAAAGTGTTCCTATTTCTCCACATCCTCTCCAGCACCTGTTGTTTCCTGACTTTTTAATGATTGCCATTCTAAGTGGTGTGAGATGGTATCTCATTGTGGTTTTGATTTGCATTTCTCTGATGGCCAGTGATGGTGAGCATTTTTTCATGTGTTTTTTGGCTGCATAAATGTCTTCTTTTGAGAAGTGTCTGTTCATGTCCTTTGCCCACTTTTTGATGGGGTTGTTTGTTTTTTTCTTGTAAATGTGTTTGAGTTCATTGTAGCTTCTGGATATTAGCCCTTTGTCAGATGAGTAGGTTGCGAAAATTTTCTCCCATTTTGTAGGTTGCCTGTTCACTCTGATGGTAGTTTCTTTTGCTGTGCAGAAGCTCTTTAGTTTAATTAGATCCCATTTGTCAATTTTGTCTTTTGTTGCCATTGCTTTTGGTGTTTTACACATGAAGTCCTTGCCCATGCCTATGTCCTGAATGGTATTGCCTAGGTTTTCTTCTAGGGTTTTTATGGTTTTAGGTCTAACATTATAGTCTTTAATCCATCTTGAATTGATTTTTGTATAAGGTGTAAGGAAGGGATCCAGTTTCAGCTTTCTACATATGTCTAGCCAGTTTTCCCAGCACCATTTATTAAATAGGGAATCCTTTCCCCATTGCTTGTTTTGGTCAGGTTTGTCAAAGATCAGATAGTTGTAGATATGCGGCGTTATTTCTGAGGGCTCTGTTCTGTTCCATTGATCTGTATCTCTGTTTTGGTACTAGTACCATGCTATTTTGGTTACTGTAGCCTTGTAGTATAGTTTGAAGTCAGGTAGCATGCTGCCTCCAGCTTTGTTCTTTTGGCTTAGGATTGACTTGGCAATGCGGGCTCTTTTTTGGTTCCATATGAACTTTAAAGTAGTTTTTTCCAATTCTGTGAAGAAAGTCATTGGTAGCTTGATGGGGATGGCATTGAATCTGTAAATTACGTTGGGCAGTATGGCCATTTTCACGATATTGATTCTTCCTACCAATGAGCATGGAATATTCTTCCATTTGTTTGTATCCTCTTTTACTTCATTGAGCAGTGGTTTGTAGTTCTTGAAGAGGTCCTTCACATCCCTTGTAAGCTGGATTCCTAGGTATTTTATTCTCTTTGAAGCAATTGTGAATGGGAGTTCACTCATGATTTGGCTCTCTGTTTGTCTGTTGTTGGTGTATAAGAATCCCTGTGATTTTTGTACATTGATTTTGTATCCTGAGACTTTGCTGAAATTGCTTATCAGCTTAACGAGATTTTGGGCTGAGACAATGGGGTTTTCTAGATATACAATCATGTCGTCTGCAAACAGGGACAATTTGACTTCCTGTTTTCCTAATTGAATACCCTTTATTTCCTTCTCCTGCCTGATTGCCCTGGCCAGAACTTCCAGCACTATGTTGAATAGGAGTGGTGAGAGAGGGCATCCCTGTCTTGTGCCAGTTTTCAAAGGGAATGCTTCCAGTTTTTGCCCATTCAGTATGATATTGGCTGTGGGTTTGTCATAGATAGCTCTTATTATTTTGAGATATGTCTTGTCAATACCTAATTTATTGAGAGTTTTTAGCATGAAGGGTTGTTGAATTTTGTCAAAGGCCTTTTCTGCATCTATTGAGATAATCATGTGGTTTTTGTCTTTGGTTCTGTTTATATGCTGGATTACATTTATTGATTTGCATATATTGAACCAGCCTTGCATCCCAGGGATGAAGCCCACTTGATCATGGTGGATAAGCTTTTTGACGTGCTGCTGGATTCAGTTTGCCAGTATTTTATTGAGGATTTTTGCATGGATGTTCATCAAGGATATTGGTCTAAAATTCTCTTTTTTGGTTGTGTCTCTGCCAGGCTTTGGTATCAGGATGATGCTGGCCTCATAAAATGAGTTAGGGAGGATTCCCTGTTTTTCTATTGATTGGAATAGTTTCAGAAGGAATGGTACCAGTTCCTCCTTGTACCTATGTAGAGTTTGGCTGTGAATCCATCTGGTCCTGGACTCTTTTTGGTTGGTAAGCTATTGATTATTGCCACAATTTCAGATCCTGTTATTGGTCTATTCAGAGATTCAACTTCTTCCTGGTTTAGTCTTGGGAGAGTGTATGTGTCAAGGAATTTATCCATTTCTTCTAGATTTTCTAGTTTATTTGCGTAGAGGTGTTTGTAGTATTCTCTGATGGTAGTTTGTATTTCTGTGGGATCGGTGGTGATATCCCCTTTATCATTTTTTATTGTGTCTATTTGATTCTTCTCTCTTTTTTCCTTATTAGTCTTGCTAGCGGTCTATCAATTTTGTTCATCCTTTCAAAAAACCAGCTCCTGGATTCATTAATTTTTTGAAGGGTTTTTTTGTGTCTCTATTTCCTTCAGTTCTGCTCTGATTTTAGTTATTTCTTGTCTTCTGCTAGCTTTTGAATGTGTTTGCTCTTGCTTTTCTAGTTCTTTTAATTGTGATGTTAGGGTGTCAATTTTGGATCTTTCCTGCTTTCTCTTGTGGGCATTTAGTGCTATAAATTTCCCTCTACACACTGCTTTGAATGTGTCCCAGAGATTCTGGTATGTTGTGTCTTTGTTCTCGTTGGTTTCAAAGAACATCTTTATTTCTGCCTTCATTTCGTTATGTACCCAGTAGTCATTCAGGAGCAGGTTGTTCAGTTTCCATGTAGTTGAGCAGTTTTGAGTGAGATTCTTAATCCTGAGTTCTAGTTTGATTGCACTTTGGTCTGAGAGATAGTTTGTTATAATTTCTGTTCTTTTACATTTGCTGAGGAGAGCTTTACTTCCAAGTATGTGGTCAATTTTGGAATAGGTGTGGTGTGGTGCTGAAAAAAATGTATATTCTGTTGATTTGGGGTGGAGAGTTCTGTAGATGTCTATTAGGTCCACTTGGTGCAGAGCTGAGTTCAATTCCTGGGTATCCTTGTTGACTTTCTGTCTCGTTGATCTGTCTAGTGTTGACAGTGGGGTGTTAAAGTCTCCCATTATTAATGTGTGGGAGTCTAAGTCTCTTTGTAGGTCACTCAGGACTTGCTTTATGAATCTGGGTGCTCCTGTGTTGGGTGCATATATATTTAGGATAGTTAGCTCTTCTTGTTGAATTGATCCCTTTACAATTCTGTAATGGCCTTCTTTGTCTCTTTTGATCTTTGTTGGTTTAAAGTCTGTTTTATCAGAGACTAGGATTGCAACCCCTGCCTTTTTTTGTTTTCCATTTGCTTAATAGATCTTCCTCTATCCTTTTGTTTTGAGCCTATTTGTGTCTCTGCACGTGAGATGGGTTTCCTGAATACAGCACACTGATGGGTCTTGACTCTTCATGCAATTTGCCAGTCTGTGTCGTTTAATTGGAGCATTTAGTCATTTACATTTAAAATTAATATTGTTATGTGTGAATTTGATCCTGTCATTATGATGTTAGCTGGTTATTTTGCTCGTTAGTTCATGCAGTTTCTTCCTAGTCTTGGCATGATTTTGCAGTGGCTGGTACCGGTTGTTCCTTTCCATGTTTAGTGCTTCCTTCAGGAGCTCTTTTAGGGCAGGCCTGGTGGTGACAAAATCTCTCAGCATTTGCTTGTCTGTAAAGGATTTTATTTCTCCTTCACTTATGAAGCTTAGTTTGGCTGGATATGAAATTCTGGGTTGAAAATTCTTTTCTTTAAGATCGTTGAATATTGGCCCCCACTCTCTTCTGGCTTGTAGTGTTTCTGCTGAGAGATCCACTGTTAGTCTGATGGGCTTCCCTTTGTGGGTAACCTGACCTGTCTCTCTGGCTGCCCTTAACATTTTTTCCTTCATTTCAACTTTGGTGAATCTGACAGTTATGTGTTTTGGAGTTGCTCTTCTCGAGGAGTATCTTTGTGGCATTCTCTGTATTTCCTGAATCTGAATGTTGGCCTGCCTTGCTAGGTTGGGGAAGTTCTCCTGGATAATATCCTGCAGAGTGTTTTCCAACTTGCTTCCATTCTCCCCATCACTTTCAGGTACACCAATCAGACGTAGATTTGGTCTTTTCACATAGTCCCATATTTCTTGGAGGCTTTGCTCATTTCTTTTTATTCTTTTTTCTCTAAACTTCCCTTCTTGCTTCATTTCATTCACTTCATCTTCCATCGCTGATACCCTTTCTTGCAGTTGATCGCATTGGCTCGTGAGGCTTCTGCATTCTTCACGTAGTTCTCGAGCCTTGGTTTTCAGCTCCATCACCTCCTTTAAGCACTTCTCAGTATTGGTTACTCTAGTTATACATTCTTCTAAACTTTTTTCAAAGTTTTCAACTTCTTTGCCTTTGGTTTGAATTTCCTCCCATAGCTCAGAGTAATTTGATCGTCTGAAGCCTTCTTCTCTCAGCTCATCAAAGTCATTCTCTGTCCAGCTTTGTTCCGTTGCTGGTGAGGAACTGCGTTCCTTTGGAGGAGGAGAGGCGCTCTGCGTTTTAGAGTTTCCAGTTTTTCTGGTCTGTTTTTTCCCCATCTTTGTGGTTTTATCTACTTTTGGTCTTTGATGATGGTGATGTACAGATGGGTTTTTGGTGTGGATGTCCTTTCTGTTTGTTAGTTTTCCTTCTAACAGACAGGACCCTCAGCTTCAGGTCTGTTGGAGTACCCGGCCGTGTGAGGTGTCAGTCTGCCCCCGCTGGGGGGTGCCTCCCAGTTAGGCTGCTCGGGGGTCAGGGGTCAGGGACCCACTTGAGGAGGCAGTCTGCTCGTTCTCAGATCTCCAGCTGCATGCTGGGAGAACCACTGCTCTCTTCAAAGCTGTCAGACAGGGACATTTAAGTCTGCAGAGGATACTGCTGTCTTTTTGTGTGTCTGTGCCCTGCCCCCAGGGGTGGAGCCTACGGAGGCAGGCAGGCCTCCTTGAGCTGTGGTGGGCTCCACCCAGTGGGAGCTTCCCGGCTTCTTTGTTTACCTAAGCAAGCCTGGGCAATGGTGGGCACCCCTCCCCCAGCCTCGCTGCCGCCTTGCAGTTTGATCTCAGACTGCTGTGCTAGCAATCAGTGAGACTCCGTGGGCATAGGAACCTCCGAGCCATGTGTGCGATATAATCTCCTGGTGCGCCGTTTTTTTTTAAGCCCATAGGAAAAGCGCAGTATTCGGGTGGGAGTGACCCGATTTTCCAGGTGCCGTCTGTCACCCCTTTCTTTGACTAGGAAAGGGAACTCCCTGACCCCTTGCACTTCCCGAGTGAGGCAATGCCTCGCCCTGCTTTGGCTTGCGCATGGTGCACGCACCCACTGACCTGCGCCCACTGTCTGGCACTCCCTAGTGAGATGAACCTGGTACCTCGGATGGAAATGCAGAGATCACCCGTCTTCTGCCTCGCTCATGCTGGGAGCTGTAGACCGGAGGTGTTCCTATTGGGCCATCTTGGCTCCTCCCCACTGTTCTTTTTGTTTAAGATTGCTTTGACTCTTAGGGCTATTTTTTGGTTCCATATGAATTTTAGAATAGCTTTTTCTAATTCTGTGAAAAATGACATTGGTAGTTCAATAAGAATAGCATTGAATCTGCAACTTTCTTTGAGCAGTATGGTCATTTTAACATGGAATGTTTTTCCATTTATTTGTGTAGTCTTTGATGTCTTTAACAGTGTTTTGCAGTTCTCCTTGTAGAAATCTTTCACCTGCTTGGTTAGCTGTATTTCTAAATATTTCATTTTCACTGTGGCTATTGTAAATGGGATTGCATTGTTGATTTGACTCTCAGCCTGGACATTATTGGTTTATAGAAATGCTACTTATTTTTGTGCATTTATTTTATATCTTGAAGCTTTACTTAAGTCATTTATCAGTACTAGAAGTCTTTTGGTGGAGTCTTTAGGGTTTTCAAGGTATACAGTCATATTGCCAGGGAAGAGTTTGACTTTCTTTTTTCCAATTTTGGTTGCTTTTTATTTCTCTCTCTTGCCTAATTGCTTTGGCTAGGACTTTTAGTAGGAATGATGAGAGTGGGCATCCTTGTCTTGTTCCAGTCCTCAAGGGGAATGGTTCCAGCTTTTGACCACTCAGTATGCTATTGGCTGTGGGTTTGTCATAGATGGCTTTTATTATTTTGAAATATGTTCTTTCCGTGCCTCATCTGTTGAGGATTTTTATCATGAAGGGATGTTTGATTGTACTGAAAAATACAATTTACTAAAATGCCTCAGGAAGAAATATAAAAATGGGAAGAGCTCCATATTGCTTAAAGAAACTTAATTTTCAATAAATAAGCTTTATGAAAATACTTCAGTTATAAATGGCTTCTCTGATGATGCTCTAAAACATTCAAGGAAGTAATCCCAACCTGGCACAGTATCTTTCAGAAAACACAGAGGAAACCAACTAAACTCGTTTTATGAAACCAGCACAACCCTGACACCAAGCCTAACAAAACTACGAAAAAGACAATTACAGGTCAATATCCCTCCTGACCACAGACACAAAGTCCTCAACAATACATTAGCAAACAAAATCTAGAATTATATAAAAATGTCAATACATTATGATCAAGTGAACTTTATCCCAGGAACACAAGATTGCTTGAAAATTTGAAAATCATTGATGCGGTGATTCACTACACTAGCAGATAAAGGAGAAAAAAATTTGATCATATCAATAGATGGAGAAGAATTTGACAAAATTCAATACACATACATGATAAACACTCCCAAAACTAGCAATAGAAGGAAACTTCTTCTATTTCTAGGGAAATTTTATAGAGAAAATCTATAAAAATTCTGATAGCGAAACTCATATTAATGGTGAAATAGTGAGCATTTTTCCTTAAGACCAGGATTTTCCTGGCAAGGATGTCTGCTTTTACCACTTTTATTCAATGTCATAGTAGAAATCCTAGCCAGTCTAATAAAGCAAGAAAGTAAGAGAATAGACATAGAGATTGAAAGGAAGAAGTAAGATTGACTTTATTTGCAGTTCTAAGGAACCTGTAAGACAAAGAACATAAAAAGAAACAAAATTCCTTCTAGAAACTCTCTGAAAATCTAGCATCGAAAAACATAAAATCCTCAGAGAAATAAACTTACCAAAAGATATGCAGATGTCTACACTGAAAAGTACAAAATGTTGCTGAGGAAAATTGGAAAATTTTTAAATAAATGGAGAGCTATATCATATATTTATGGATTGGAATATTGGGGAACCTGCCCCAATATTCACATAGGTTCTTTTCTATTTTCCTTACACATCAGCCAGCTTGAGAAATAAAGGGACAGAGTACAAAAGAGAGAAATTTTAAAGCTGGGCCTCCGGGGGAGACAGCACATGTTGGTAGGTTCCGTGATGCCCCACAAGCCGCAAAAACCAGCAAGTTTTTATTAGGGAGCTTTAAAAGGGGAGGGAGTGTGCGAATAGGTGTGGGTCACAGACATCAAGTGCTTTACAAGGCAATAGAATATCACAAGGCAAGTGGAGGCAGGGTGAGATCACAGGACCACAGGACCGAGGAGAAATTAAAATTGCTAATGAAGTTTTGGGCACCATTGTCATTGATAACTCCTTATCAGGAGACAGGGTTTTGAGATCAACTGGTCTGACCAAAATTTAGTAGGTGGGAATTTCCTCTTCCTAATAAGCCTGGGAGTGCTATGGGAGATGGGTCTATTTCACCCCTGCAGCCTGGACCATAAGAGGCAGCCACGCCCAGGGGGGCCAGTTCAGAGACCCACCCCCAGGTGCGCATTCTCTTTCTCAGGGATTTTCCATGCTGAGAAAAAGAATTCAGCGATATTTCTCCCATTTGCTTTTGAAAGAAGAGAAATTTGGCTCTGTTCCGTCCAGCTCACCGGTGGTCAGAGTTTAAGGTTATCTCTCTTATTCCCTGAACAATTGTTGTTATCCTGTTCTTTTTTCAAGGTGCCCACATTTCATATTGTTCAAACACACATGCTGTACAATTTGTGCAGTTAATGCAATTATTACAGGGTCCTGAGGCGATATACATCCTCCTCAGCTGACAGGATTAAGAGATTAAAGTAAAGACAGGCATAGGAAATCACAAGGGTATTGACTGGGGAAGTGATAAGTGTCCATGAAATCTTTACAATTTATGTTTAGAGATTGCAGTAAAGACAGGCATAAGAAATTACAAAAGTATTAATTTGGGGAACTAATAAATGTCCATGAAATCTTCACAATCTACGTTCTTCTGCCATGGCTTCAGCTGGTCCCTCCATTTGGGGTCCCTGACTTCCTGCAACATTGTAAGACTTAGAATTTTTAAGATGTCATTTTCCCTGAATAGATCTATAGGTGCATCATAATCCCAGTCAAAATTCTAGCATATTTTTTGTAAAAATCCTCTTCAACAAATAGTACTGGAAGAACATATTTTTCATCCAGAAAAAGTAAACCTCCAGCATAACTCATATCATATATATGTGATATATATATGATATATATATATGATATATATATATATGATATATATATATGATATATATATATATATAATTTGAAACTGATCATAAGCCCAAATATAAAAGTCAAAAAAGATAAAACCTCTAGAAACAAAACATGGGAAGAAACCTTGCAATTTTACATTACGCAAAGATCTTTTCAGACAGGTTATAAAAAACACTAGCCATAAAATAATAAAGCAAGGTAAACTGAATTTTGTCAAAATTTAAAACTTTTCAAAAGATATCATTAAGAAAATAAAAGGGTAAACCACAGACTAGGGGTAAATATTTGTAGTACATAAATCTAAATAATTATCCAAAATGTAAAATGAATTCCTATAACTCAATAATTTAATTTAAAAAGTTAAAAAGACAAAAAAATTAGAACAGACATTTCAAAAAGGAAGATACTAATGGTTAACAAGTATATGAAAATACTATTAGTCATTAAGGAGATGTAAATTAAAGCCAACATGCAGTATGATTTCAGACCATCTGTTATGGCTAATACTAAAAAGATTTAGTATCATGTGTTGGAGTGAATGTGAAATAATTGGCACTCTCACACATTGCTGGTGGGAGTATAAAACAGCACAACCACTTTAGAAAAAAAATTGGCTGTGTTTAGTTTAAATATGGACTCTCTATATATGACCTACTAGTTCCACTCTTCTGTATTTACCTAAATGTGTGAAAACCTGTCACATAAAGACACACAGAGAAATGTTCAGAATTGTTTATTTGTAAATCTGAAAACCAGAAACCAGCCAAATATAAATGAATGAATAAACAAATTGTGGCTTATTCATATGATGGAATACTACTCAAAGCAAAAAATAAAAATAAACGAATGAAATATTGATGAATACAACATGGACACTTCTGAAACACATACTGAGCAAAAGAAGCCGACCACAAAATAGTACTTAATATATGATGGCACGTATACAAAGTTCTAGAATAGGAAAAATGAATTTAGAGTAATAAAAGTCAGATCAGTGGTTTTCTGGGGATGGGGACGTGAGGCATTGATTACAAATGGAGAAGGGAGCTTTCTGGGTGGTAGAAATATAATCAAATTAATATCTCATTTGTAAAGGTAGGCATATGCATGTATACAAATGGGTGCATATATTTGTCAAAACTCATTGAACTACACTTAAAATGTATGCATATTAATTTATTAAATTATATTTTAGATTTTTTCTTTTTTTCTTTTTCACAAAATGGTGGATTAGAGGCATTTCTAGCATTTCTCCCCCACTTGGAAGGACAAAATAGTGTGTAGAGATTCAAGCTGTGAGCTTTTTTTCCAGAAGTGGCACAGGAACTGAACAGGAAAACTGAAGAAATCCACAGACCCTTTGAAGGAAGTATCAGGCTGCAGACTACACCTTGAGTTAGAGGAAGGCCTCTGAGTTCCGAGTGAGAGAGGGGGAGAGACTGCCTCCAGGATACATACCCCAACTGGGAGCTTGAAAGTTCAGGCCACAGAGGAAGACCTTAACTCTACCCAGAGCAGGTGCCAGCTTGGGGAGGGTCATGGAACATAAAAGTAGGAGGAGTGTTGGGAAGACCATTGTGTGCACTCCCAATCAACAGTCCAGACCAAGGGAAACCATTCCTTATTGTTCCTCACAGGGAACCCTGTGGAGATCAGCCAAAATATAATTCAAGCAGTGGTCACAGATTGAAAGATGCCCCCAACTGGGTTTCACGATATAACCAATATAACCTCAGGTGGGAATGAACTCCCTTGGCCAGGGCTGGGTAGCGGTGGTGGTGGCGGTGGGGTGGGGAAGGTGGGTTGAGGGAGTGCCGCATCCAGGAATGCAGGTGCAGAAGCCAGCTCCCAGGTTTGCGGGTGGATGGGGAGGCCTCACTGAAAGCCAAGGTTGCTATTTCTGACGGAAAGCTTATGACCTGGGTCAGCTGGGAGTTCTGAGTGCAGGCTGCCAGGAACTTAGCTTGCTGCTGCTAGTAGAACACTGCAGGAACAGGATATGCTTCACCAAGTGCATGGGATCTGCATAGAGCTTACTGCTGACTGCTACGCCCCACTCCCTGTGTGAAGTCTCCTGTGCAGCAGAGACAGCAGCACTTCCTTCTGGATCGTCAACCCAGTGGCCTGAGAATCACCCCCATCCACTGACACCCACAGGAGCTGCTGCCCTGTGTGCTGAGAGTCAGAGTACAAACCTGCTTGACCCAGCCCCCATCTGGCTTTGCCTGGACACCCTCCCTGGTAGCTTAACGCAAAGGACAGAAACTCTTGGGAGCTTTATGGCCCCACCCATTGCCTGAGAAACCATTACCCTCCTGGGCAACATAAGGCAAGCAAAAATCCCACTGCTACCACCTCAGGTGGTGCTCTTTTGCAAGCACTACCTTCTGACTGGAGGCCAATCAACACAGTCCATTACAGCATCTCCTGATAGAATAACACTGCTCCCAGGAAGGAGAAAACGGCTGTGTGACCTCAGCTATCACCACTGTCTGCAGCACTCTGGCTAACCAGGAGGTCCTGGGTCTTTCCACATGACAAGTTCATTATTACTATAACCAGCATTCAAGAAAGCCAACAAACTAAGGTTATCTATAACTAAAGAATCTCACAGAGTCTATGTCACTCCATTGCCACCTTCATTAGAGCTGATGCTGCTACCCACTGCTGGGAGACTTGAAGAAAGATCACATCACTGGATCCCTTGGAGACATTCCCCAGCACCAGCCTTGAGTGTAGTAACTTTGCTGGGCAGCTAGACGCAGAGAAGCAACAACACTGACAGTAGTCTGGATCCCACGGACTCCCACTCCTAGGGGAAGGGGGAGTGTACCATATTAAAAGAACACCCTGTGGGACAGAGGAATGTGGACAGCAGAATGTGAGCACCAGATCTTTGCACTGGTGGGAAGTTTCTTTCAGCAGAGGTACAGTTGCAGTGCTTGGCTCAGCACGGCAAGTCTGTAGTTCTAACCCAACAGTCTGATATCCCTACTGCACACGAAGGGTCTTAGAGTAGGGGACATCTTTCCCCACTTACCCACCACAGCAGACACAGTGGGGGCTTCTATCACAGGAACTCTGCATAGGTGCAACTATAGATAATCTTTCTGGAACATGTCAGGGTACTGCATCCCCACTGGAGGAGCACCCTCCAGGTTCAGGATTGCATGAGAGACAGAGTCACAATCCCCCACTACTTGGAACATCCACATTCCTACAGATGAAAAGAGGTGCTTGTCTAATCTGAATAGCCAGAGAGCTGAGGCAGGAGTGTGTCTGAGGGGTGGATAGCTTTCCTACTGAACTGTTAGGGGAGCTTAGGTGGCTTCCCCCCTTTCTCTTGACATGACCTCAGTGTGACTCATGGAGAGCTCCTCCAGCCACTTCTCTCAAGGCTGGGACCTCTGTTCATCACTGGGTATTGCATTTACCCACCTGCTTTAGCTACAGTTGGTTCCTACCCAGGGACACCTCCCCTACTGTCCTGAAGCCTGGACCATCAAACCACTAAATAAAATACTGGGGAAAAATTAATAAATAAAGGAGTGCATGACATGGGAGAATGAAATAAGCTCCAAGAGACTACTAACATTCCAACCCCATAGGCAACAGTAAACTTGCTCACACACTGAGCACATTGCTACTATAAGCAGCATATGAGAAAACCATTTATATAAAGACTGTCTATAGCCAAGGAACTCTAACAGAGTCTTTACCATTGAGATCACCAAGTATAGAATTAGGCTGTAATAAACCATCGCCATTAAAATCACATGATTAGGGGAAAAAAGAAATTTTAAAAAACAGTCAAACCAAACATAAATTCAAGAATAATTAGAAGAAATAGTCTACTCAATTGAGAAGGAGCCAGAAAAGTAACTTTTGTAATATGGCAAAAAAGGGTTCTATAACACCTCCGAAAGATCACACTAGCTCTCCAGCAATGTATCCGAACCAAGATGAAAACTTTGAAATACTAGATAAGGAATGCTGAAGGTTGATTATCAAGCTACTCAATGAAATATGAGAGAAAGGTGAAAACCATCATAATGAAATTAAAAAGCAGTTCAGGATATGAATGAAAAATTTTCTAGAGAGATAGCTATCATAAAGAAAAACCAATCAGAATTTCTGGAAATGGAATACACACTTAGGGAATTATAAAATGCAGTGAAAATTATTAATAATAGAACAAGCAGAAGAAAGAATTTCAGAAGTTGAGAACAAACTTTTGAATTAACCCAATCAGGTGAAAATGAAGAAAAATGAATCAAAAGAAATGAGCAAAGTGTCCAAGAAAAATGGGATTATGTAAAATGGAAAATACCACATGCGTCCGTGTGAAGAGACTACCAACAGGCTTTGTGTGAGCAACAAAGCTGTTTATTCATTTGGGTGCAAGTGGGCTGAGTCTGAGAAAGGAGTCAGTGAAGGGAGTTAGAGATGCGGCACTTTTATGGGACTGGGATAAGCAGTGGAAAGTTACAGTTAAAGGGGGTTTTTCTCTTGCGGGCAGGGGTTGGCGTCGCAAGGTTCTTGGTGGGGAGATCATAAGACTCATTTTCCAGAAGAAGAATGTCACGAGGTCCATCGATCAATCATTTGGGACAGGGCAGGAGCAAATCATAATGGAATGTTGTAAGGTTTGTCCATCAGTTAAGAAAGGAGCTGGCTCTTTCACTTCTTTTGTACTTTTCAGTTGTCTCAGGCCATCTGGATGTATACATGCAGGCTTGGGCTCAGAAGCCTGACCGAAAACCCTATGAATCACTGGTGTTCCTGAAAGAGAACAGAAAACAATAAATCTGGAAAAGTTGTATGAGGAAAGAATTGAGGAAAACTTCCCGTGCCTGGCTTGAGATCTAGATATCCAAATCTAAGAAGCTCAAAGAACTCATGGGAAATTCATTGCAAAAAGATCTTCACCATGACATATAGTCACAAGGCTATCTAAAGTCAATGTGAAGGAAATAATTCTAAAAGCAGAAAGAAAAAAGCATCGGGTAACCTATAAAGAGAACCTATCAGGTTGACAGCATACTTCTCAGCAGAAATCTTACAAGTCAGAAGGGTTTGTGGTCCTATCTTCAGCCTCCTTAAACGGAATAACTGCCAGCCAAGAACTTTGTGTCCAGCAGCAAAATTAAGTTTCATAAATAAAGAGGAAATAAAGTCATTTTCGTACAAATAAATGCTGAGGGAATTTATCACTACTAAATATGTACTACAAGACCTGTTAAAAGGAGTTTTAAATCTTGAAACAAAAACTTGATATGCACCAAAATAGGTCTCTTGAAAGCCTGAAACTCACAGGGCCTGTAAAAAAATAACGCAGCAACAACAACAACAATAACAACAAACAATCTGGGTAAAAATTAACATGATGAAAGAGAATAGTACCTCACATCTCAATACTAACATTAAATGTAAATGGCCTAAATGCTCCACTTAAAAGATACAGAATGGCAGAAAGGATATAAAAAATCACAAATCAAATATCTGTGGTCTTCAAGAGACTCAGGTAACATGAAAGGATTCATATAAACTCAAGGTAAAGGGGTGGAAAAAGATATTCCACACAAATGGAAACCAAAATTGAGCAGGAATAGCTATTCTTATATCAGACAAAACAGACTTCAAAGCGACAGCAGTTAAAAAAAAACAAAGGAGGTTATTATATAATGAAAAAAGGACCAATGCAACAAGAAGATATTACAATCCTAAATTTATAGGCACCCAACAGAGCTCCAGATTTCTAAAGCAATTACTACTAGACCAAAGAAATGAAATAGACAGCAACACAATAATAGTGAAAGATTTTAACATACCACTGAAAGCACTAGACAGATCATCAAGGCAGCAAGTCAACAAAGAAATAATGGACTTAAACCAGATTCCAGAACAAATGGACTTAACAGATATTTACAGAACTTTATACCCAAGCATGTGGTCTTACCACTTCAGCTCCCCCCAGTAGCTACAGGACCTGGTTTTGATCCCCCGTCATTCACAGGGCCAGCTCCAGGGCCCCAGGTTACTCATCGAGAAAGAATCCAGGAGGGTGGTGTTTCCTCCTGAAGGATGGAGGGGCAATAAGAGGGTTTTGGGAAAGCACTAGATGCTTACCTTAGCAATAAGCAAGCAAGAACTGCAAAATATACATTTTTTTTTCATTAGCACATGGAATATTCTCCGAGATAGACCATATGACAGGCCACAAAACAAGTCTCAATAAACTTTTAAAAATCAAAATCATATCAATTATCTTTTCAGACCAGAGTGGAATAAAACTAGAAATCAATTCCAAACTCAAAACCATACAAATACATGGAAATTAAATAATCTGCCCCTGAAGGATTTCTGGGTTAATAAATAAATCCTGATGGAACTTAAAAATTCTTTGAATTGAATGATAATAATGACACAATTTATTGAAACCTCTGGGATACAGCAAAAGCATTGCTAAGAGGAAAATTTTAGTGCGAAATGCCTACATCGAAAAGTCTGAAAAAGCACAAATCAACACATAATGTCACACCTCAGGGAACTAGAGAAACAAGAACAAACTAAACCTAAAGCTGGCAGAAGGAAAGAAATAGCAAAGATTGGCACAGAACAACAACAAAAAATACAAAATATCAATGAAACAAAAGCTAGTTCTTTGAAAATATAAATAAAATTGATAGACCATTAGTGATATTAACCAAGAAAAGAAGAGAGGAGATCCAAATAAGCTCAATTAAAAATGAAACTATAGGCATTACAACTGACACCACAGAAATACAAAAGATCATTCAAGACTACTGCAAATACCTTTAGGCACACAAACTAGAAAACCTAGGGGAAATGGATAAATTCCTGGAAACATACAACCCTCCTAGATTAAATCGGGATTAAATAGAAACCCCGAACAGACAAATAACAAGCAGCAGGATTGAATCAGTAATAAAAAAAATTGCCAACAAAAAACCCAGGACCAGATGGATTCACAGCTGAATTCTACCAGATGTTCAAAGAAGAATTGATACCAATCCTATTCAAACTATTCCAAAAGATTGAGAGAGAATCCTCCCTAAATCATTCTATGAAGCCAGTATCATCCTGATATCAAAATCAGGAAAGGACGTAACATAAAACATAACTACAGACCAGTATCCCTGATGAATATAGACGCAGTTGTCCTCAACAAAACATTAGCAACACACACCAACAAATTGAATCCAACAGCACATCAAAAAGATGATACACCATGATCAAGTAGGTTTCATCCCAGGGATTCAGGGTTGGTTTAACATAAGTACACAAGTCAATAGATGTGACACATCAAGAACAAAAACCATATAATCATCCCAATAGATGTAGTAAAAGCATTCAACAGAATCCAGCATCCCTTTATGATAAAAACTCTCAGTGAACCAGACATAGAAGAGACTTATCTAAAAATAATAAAAGGCGTATATGAAAAACCCACAGCCAACATCATACTGAATGTGGAAAAGTTGAAAGCATTCCCCCTGAAAACAGGAACAAGAAAAGGATGCCCAGTTTCACCACTCCTATTCAACATAGTTCTGGAAGTCCTAGCCAGATAAATTAGACAAGAGAAAGAAAGAAAGGGCATCCAAATTGGAAAACAGAAAGTCAAACTATCACTGTTTGCAGATGATATGATTGTATAACTAGAAAATCCTAAGGACTCCTCCAAAAGGCTCCTAGATTTGATAAATGAATTCAATAAAGTCTCAGGTTACAAAAACAATGTACCCAAATCAGTAGCACTGTCATACATCGACAGTGACCAAGCTGAGAATCAAATCAAGAACTCAATCTCTTTTACAACATCTGCAAATAATAATAATAATAATAATAATAATAATGATAATAATAATAATAGCAATACCTAGGAATATACTTAACCAGGGAGGTGAAAGATCTCTACAAGGAGCACTACAAAACACTGCTGAAAGAAATCATAGATGACATAAACAAGTGAAAACACATCCCTTGCTCTTGGATTGGAAGAGTTAATATTGTGAAAACGACCATACTGCCCAAAGTAATCTACAGATTCAATGCAATTGCTAGCAAAATGTCAACGTCATTTTCACAGAATTAGAAATAAAACAATCCTAAAATTCATATGGAACCAAAAAAGAGCCTGAATAGTCAAAGCAATCCTAAGCAAAAAGAACAAATCTGGAGGCATCACATTCCTGAACTTCAAATTATACTACAAGGCTATAGTTGCCAAAACAGCATCGTACTGGCATAAAAGTAGGCACATAGGTCAATGGAAGAGAAAGAGAATCCAGAAATAAAGCCGAATTTGTACAGCCAACTGATCTTTGACAAAGCATACAAAAACATAACTTGGGAAATGGACACCCTATCTAATAAATGGTGCTGGGAAAACTGGCAAGCCGCATACAGAAGAATTAAGCCGGATCCTTATCTCTTACCTTATACAAAAGTCAACTCAATATGGATCAAAGACTTAAATATAAAACCTGAAACCACAAAAATTCTAGAAGACAATATTGAAAAAACTCTTCTAGGCATTGACCTAGGCAAAGAATTCATGACTAAGACCCCAAAAGCGAATGAAACAAAAACAAAAATTAATAAATGGGACGCAATTAAACTAAAAAGCTTCTGCACAGCAAAAGAAATCATTAGCAGAGCAAACAGATAACCCACAGAATAGGAGAAAATATTTGCACACTACACATCCAACAAGAACTAGTATTCATAATCTACAAGGAACTCAAACAAATCAGCAAGAAAAAAGAAATAATACCATCAAAAGTGGGCACAGGTCATGAATAGATATTTCTCAAAAGAAGATATACAAATGGCCAACAAAAGTATAAAAAATGCTCAACATCATTAATAATCAGGGAGATGCAAATTAAAACCACAATGAGGTACCACATTACTCCTGCAAGAATGGCCATTATTAAAAAAATCAAAAGCCAATAGATGTTAATGTGGAAGTGGTGAAAAGGGAACACTTTTACATCACCAGTGGGAATGTAAATTAGTACAACCTCTATGGAAAACAGTATGGAGATTCCTTAAATAACTAAAAGTAGAACTGTCATTTGATCCAGCAACCCCACTACTGAGTATTTACTCAAAGGAAAAAAGTCATTATATGAAAAGGAAACTTGCAGACATATGTTTATAGTAGCACCATTCACAATTGCAAATATATGGAACTAAACTAAGTGTAGACCAACAAGAGGATAAAAAAAATATCGTATGTATAGGTATATATACACCAAGGAATACTACTCTGCCATAAAAAGAGACAAAATAATGTCTTTGGCAGCAACTTGGATGGAGCTGGAGGCTATTATTCTAAGTGAATTAACTCAGGAGTGGAAAACCAAAAACTGTACATTCTCACTTACATGTGAGAGCTAAGCTGTGGGAATATAGAGTGATATAATGAACTTTAGAGACTCAGAAGGGAGAGATTAGAATGGAGGGGTAGGTATTAAAAAAACTACATATTATGTACAATGTACACTACTTGGGTGACAGGCACCTGAAAATTTCAGGATTCACTACCATCTAATTTATCCATGTAACCAAAAATCATGTGTATCCCAAAAGCTATTGAAATAACAATTTTTAAAAAATTTTATTTTAATAAAGTAAAGTAATCAGTGGGAATTTCTTTGCTTCAGCTGCTTCTGAAGGTCCACAACTCATAGTCTGTAGATGGACCTGAAGCCACAGCTGGTGAGTCTGGCAGGAGGGAAAAAAGCTGGATGTGGAGCCAGGGAGAAGGAGGACAAGTTAGAACCTGTGACATCTTTGCTCGTTTCTGTCATTGCATGTAAATATAACTACTTCAATCAATGGCTGCTGCGTTACCTCTGTTTTCCAAATTGCATACACATTGCTCTGATGCAGAACCCTGCAGGGAATTCTGGGACAACAGATTTCAGATTAAGCAAGTTGACACAGTTCAAACCACCTCACTAACCACGAATCACTACAATTCTATTTTTAGAAGCGAGAAAAACCCAGGTCTAACAATTTCACCCACCAAAGCTTGAGAAAATTGGGAGAAACACTATCTAAGTTCATAACAGTTTTCCAAAGGGTAATTTATCCACTTGATATTGTTAGCTGTCAAATTAACTTCTCTTACTTCATTTGCACACATGAAATTTATTCATAAAGGACTGTGCATGGTACACTGAGCAGCAGAGTATTTGTAGCTTCTTTACATTCACTACTCAGTATTTTTTTTATTTTTCATTTTACTTCCTTAGTGTTTAGCATACAGCTATTATTATGTATGCCTTGTAAATATATAATTACACACCAGGTTTGCATCTCACTGAACAACCCTATTTCAGTAGGAGGGAGATATCTAAAAGCACAGCTGCTGCTATTATTGTGTTGCTCTCATGCTTTCCACCCAGGGACAAGGAAAAAAAGAAAGGAGAAAGATACACTTCTCTTCATTATTCTTCTGGCACTGCACAATAAATTTGTGACTAGAAATCATTATTTTTTTTAACAGGTTTAGTTGCTAGGGGTGACTTCTGTTACTCCACTAATGAGCAATTCTGACATACGCAAGTGAATTGCTGATAAGCACTGTTTTTATACTTATCCTGGTGCTCTGAAACTTTTATTCTTTCTAAACTTCTTTCCCTTGTCAATATTTTGTCATTAATATTTTCTAGGTCTACGAAAAATTTTAAAACACAGACATTAAGCATTGAACGATGGATATGGTAATTACCCTGATTTGAACATTATACTATGTATTCATGTGTTGAAACAACACTTTGTACCCCATAACCATATATAATTATTATATATCAATTATAAAATTAAAAATTTGATAAAAGGAGGAAATAAGTACTTAAGAAACAGACAAAAATGTTCTTTATTACCTTATTCAGTTAATAATTAAATCCCATTAATACTTATTCATTATTCTATTTAACATTTATTAAATATCTAATAGGTGTTGGTAAAGAAAATGGGCTAAGGAAGTGGGAGGGAAAAAGATGAATATAATGTAGCCACAGCCCCTCCTCTCCATACATTCCCATGGCTGCTGGCTCCCTCATGCCCCATGGGATCAAGTGTGGTTTGCTCTTACGAGACTCATCAGAAGGCATTCACAATACCAACCAATCAAGCTTAGTAAACTCTGTTGGATACATCTTAAGGAATCCTCTGTAAAACCCCTACTCTACAAATTTATTCCCATTGCTAACTCCTCCAAGATTTACTTCCCACTGCCCCTATCCAAACTTAATCTCACCTTATCCCTGTCTCATCTGTTACTCTCTTCCTCAATGCACTAGGTTCAAGGCCATTTCCTAGACTTACTGCTATCCCACCATCTGGGGTGGTTTCCTTCCTTGTCTTCATATGCTACCCATGCTTTAAAATCCATTCTGACAACTCTTATTCTATATTCTATATGAGAATTTCTAATCTATAAGCACTATATAATAATATAATGATACCAATCTGTTTTTCTCAGTCTTTGTTTCATGGGTGTATGTTTTTCTAACTAATTTTCTAATTAAAATCTATCCACATTTTATGCTGAATAGCTTCAGGCAGGCCATTTAATTCATAGACATCTGCAATGAAGTGATTCGGAGCCCAGCTTCTGAAACCCCATACTGGATTTATATCTGAGTTACTTACTGCCTTATCATGGGCTCATTTGTAATAACACTTACCTTAAATACAAGCACATTGTAGAGTAGTACAAAAATATTTTTTTCTTTAAATTCTTATTATATAGAGCATTTTCCTACTTTAAAAATTTTTTATTTTTTAAAACTCTTAAAACTTTTTTTTTTTGTTAAAAGTAAAGACACAAATATACACACTAGCTTCGGCTTACACAGGGGCAGGATATCAATATCACTGTCTTTCACCTCCGTATTGCCCTACTATAAGGTCTTCAGGGGCACTTACGTGCGTGGAGCTGTCATCTCCTATGATAATGATGTCTTCTTCTGGAATATCTCCTGAAGGACCTGCCTGAGGCTGTTTTGCAGTTAACTTCTTTCTTTATAAAGAAGAAATACACTTTAAAATAGCAATTAAAAGTATAATATGGTAAATACATTAAACAGTAACACAGTTGATTATGATCATTATCAAGTACTATGTACTGTAAACAATTATATTGTTATATTTTTATATCACTGGGAGACTGTAGGTTTGTTTATACCAGCATCACCGCAAACACATAAGTAATGCATTGTGCTATGATGTTATGAGTGTCATGAAGTCACTAGGCAATAGGAATTTTTCAGCTCCATTTTAATCGTATGGACCATTTTCATATATGTGATCTGCCATTGAGAAAGTTGTTATTGCTACTCATGACTATGTTTATATAGCATTTACATTGTATTAGGTATTATAAGTAATTTAAAAATAATTAAAGTATATAGGAGGCTATGCATAGGTTACATGTGAATACTACGCTATTTTATATAAAGGACTTGAGCATCCATGGATTTTCGTATCGTTGGGGGTCCTGAAACCAATCCCCTGTGGATACTGAGGGACAACTGTAGTAATGAACATATAATCTTCAAAGTTTCTACATTTAACATGCTCACATGGCAAACGTCCCATCCTGGTCAAACCTAATTCTTCACAAACTGTTCGATTGCACCTGTAACAGTAAAACTTAATTTGGAGAAAGCATATAATTATGCTGACTGGTCTCAGTTTAAATTTATGGGCACTAATTTTTAGTTAACCCTTAGTGTGGCCTCGGCAATTCATGTTTTCCAGTCCATTCATGTTTTTATTGTTCTTGGGCAGCTAACAGTATCATATCTTCTCCTCACATCTTAATCTTTTATCAGTTTATCCTCCATTTTTATGCTTTTATCAGTTTATCCTCCATTTTCATGCTTAGCTGAAAATCATACTTTCTCTTGTAGCAAACAGAAGAGACCTTCACACGTTACCACCAATACATCTTCCCTCCTTCTTGCCCCGAATCTAAAAGACTGTACCCTTCCTCCTGTTAATATAATTAGCAGTTAGTGCTGCTATCTAAGGCCAACCCTTTAAATTGTACATTAGAACTTATTTCTCTTGACTACTCAAGAACATCCTCCAGCATTTCTCCTCTTTTTTGTAAGCATGATTAATATTTCACTCTCACCTGGATCAGTTTTATTTGCATATAAACATGCAGTTATTTCTCTCATCGAAAACACCTTCTCTTGGTTGCCACTTCTGCCTCCTGCTATCAGGTCATCTCTCTACTTCCTTTACAGCAAAATTCCTTAAGAGCTGTCTATATTCTGTCTCTTTTTCCTCTTCTTTCCTTTTCTCTTGAACCTACTCACTTCAGTCCCTTGCCTTGAGCTCCAAAACTGCTCTTTCCAAGATCACTAATGATTTCTCCATTGATAAACTGGCCAAGACAGGCTTTAACATTCCCTGCAGCTTGACTAAACTTTAGACAGATTTCTTCTTGACTACAGGCCTCTGACCTCCCTTTTCTTAGATCATTTACTTCAGAACACTTGCAATTGTAAGTTCTATCTTTGTCCCTTTGATACAAATCTCTCAGACTCTTGTCAGTTTTACAACTCAGGACTGTCTTTCTCAAGGACCTGAGAGCTGTCCCTTTGAGATATAATCATCAAGAAAGTTAGCACCCCTATATCCTGGTCTGTGGGAGTGTAGGAGTCTAACTTGGATAAGCACCAAATTAGCAAACACAAATGGCCTAATCTTATTGACCAACCTCTCCTAGTGTCCTCTAGGACTTTTCTATTAGCTCACCATTCCTTCTAAAATCCCTCTCACCTTTGTCTCAGTGGAGTTGAGTTCAATCTTTCTTTCCTATTGTGAATCTTCTTTGCTTATTTAACTCCATCTGGTACAATGGCCAACTCTCATTGCTTATCTTTCCTAACATATCAATAATATATGGTGTAATTGGTCACACTCTTTTCTAAAACTTTCTGCTTTTCTTTTTTATAACATATTGGTTGCTACTTCTCAGTCTTGCTTGCTTCTTTTTTTCTCATAAATTTGACCTTTAAAGATAGGACTGAGCCAAGGCCCAATCCTTACATATTATTTTCCATAGTTATGTTATAATCCTTCAGTAATTTTCTCTAGTTTTACAGCTTTAAGTGCCATTTACATCAGTTAGAGTTTGATCAGGGAAGCAAAACCCCCATGAATGATATGGAATAAGAGATTCATTACAGGTGTTATAACTGCTCTGGTTGCTGGTGAAGTCTGTGGAGGGCTGTTGGCTCTGCATATGGTATGAGCTTAAGGTTATTGGAAATCCTCAATGGCTGGCGGTTGGAAGAAAATCTGGATGTGAAGCTTGGGAGAGTGGGAACAACCCAGATCCAATAAATGAGCAGAAACTGGATTTCATAAGGAGAAACTGGAACCTGCCTCCAACTTGGACAAAATGGAAGAAGCTAGTACCCTTCCTCAGGGAACTACACCTAGGTGGGTCCAGACCTTGGAGGAGATGAAGAAAGAAATTTGGTGGGAGCTAGAGGAATTGTAGCCTGTGTACTGCCACATGCCATTAAGGTGCACAAGCCGATCAGTGACAACAACAGCATGTTTACAGCAATGCCTGGTGCTCCAAACTTCAGAACTTTGTGCCTTCTGGCAAACTTCTGCTTTCCAAATCTTACACAAATGTCTTGTCTGGCCCACCCTACCATAGAACCATATAGGAAGGAAAATCTGGGGAAACATTTTGGTAGCGAATCTGATATCCTTCAAAATGACCACTTGCCTTATATACTGACAATTTTTAATTTTGTATCTATAGCTTAAACCTTTCCCATGAACGCCAGATTTGTCTATATGCCCACTTATTTTCCATTCACATGTCTAGTAAACATCTTAAACTTAACTTGTTTGTCTGCAATTATTTGCATTTGAGTAAATTCAACTTCATCTTTCCAGTTTTTTATGCAGCTGGAGTTACTCTAGTCTCCCCACTTCTACCTACATATGATCCATTAGAAGATTCTGTTAGGTCCAACCCTCACAATGCAGGTAACCCTTGTTATCTAAATTCTCTGTGTCTAAAACTCAGTGGTTTAATTAATTTCAGTAAATGGAACTTTTTGTTACCTAAATATGCAATCAATGCTGTGCTTTGAATATAGGAAATGAAAAGAAGAGCACAATGAGGCCTATATGTATATTCAGGATCTGATATTTCTCAGCATCTCTGTCAAAACCACTCATCTCCTCCCTCATTTATTGCTGCTTGATTTGTCTCTCTCTTCTACCCTTGTGCCTCTGTAGTCTATCTTTAACCTAGCATTCAGAACAATCCTTAAAAAAAGCCAAGTCATGTTACCCATCTGATTATAACCCAGTAAAATCCAAAGTTGTTTTTATTCTTGCCAAAGCCTTTGTAGTATGACCCCTCACTACCTCTGAGACATCAGAGCCCAGTAACGCTCCCCTCAGTCCACACACACACACACCTTTTGCTTCATCTCCACTGGTTTCCTCCCTGCTCATAAACACTCTACTTCAGCTTTGCACTGCTGTGTCCCCTGCCTAAAAACTTTTCCTCCCCTCCCTCCAACAGGCACGTGGCTTATTCTTTCTCAAATTTCCAAGTTTTTCTGAAATGTCACTGTGATAGTTAATTTTGTGTGTCAACTTGGCTAGGCTGTGATGCTCAGTTGTTAGGTCAAATACCAGCCTAGATGTTGCTGTGAAGGTAGTTTTAAAGATGTAATTAACATTTAAATCAGTAGGTTTTGAGTAAGGCAGGTTACTCTCTATAATGTGGATGGACTTTGTCCATTTAGTTGAGAGTCTTAAGAGACTGATGTCCCCTGAGGAAGAAGGAACTCTGCCTTCTGACTGCTTTGGGACTCAAGACTGCAACATTAACACCTGCTGGAATTTCCAGCCTGCTGGCCAGCTCTTCATATTTCAGACTTACCAGCACATCTGTGTGAGCCAGTTTCTTAAAACAAACCTCTCTTTCTCTCTCACTCCATCCTATTATTCTGTTTCTCTGCTGAACCCTGAATAAAAGTCACCTTTTCATTAAAGTTTTTGCTTTGTTCACAATAGGAATCATCCTCATACAAATGCCCCAAGACAATTCCTATTCCACTTAACTGATTTTATTTTTTTCCTAGAGCCCTTGTATCCTATGTTGATATGGTTATTTATACCATCATTTTCTTAGCTTGTGCCAGAAATTCTAAACTTTATAAAAGCAGGCACTTTATTCTGTCCTCTGCTGAATCCTTAGCTTCTAAGAGTGGCTTAGAATATGTACTTAGTGAATATTTGTTGAGTGGATGAGTGAATGAATGAATGAATATTTGTTGAATGAATTTGTTAAATGAATGAGCTTTAAATAAATTGAGTTTCCAATTTGGTTGAAAAATTTTTGGTGATGATTGAGTGAGTCCTTGGAATGGCATGAAAACATAGTAGGGAAGTTGTAGATAGGAAGAGGAAATTATGAAAACATAGATGTATGAAAACTGTTGTAAATCATAGAAGAAAGAAACAGAAGGAAACCATTAAAAAAAAAGAACTACTTTCATCTTCATTGTGCAATGTTTAAATTGATAATGATAGTTACTGTTTTTCTTGCTTCTGCCTAGAAAAGAAAAACAGTCCAAAGAAGATTAGCTTTGAGAAATAAGCACAAAGAAAAAGAAGAAAATTGGAGAAAAGTAAAAAAAAGATAAATGGTCTTAATGAATGCCAGTGCTTAGCTAAGATTAGGAACCACAAATGCTAATGCTACCTATTTACATAGATTGTAATACTGCTTATCTGTTTTGCAGAGAAGAGAAATTAGCTTATGCTATAAAATATAAAAGTGAACAAAACACTAAATATTTATAGCCTTCAGAATAAAATTGAAAAGAAAAGATTATTTATGGAATTTAAATATTTTATTCATTGCATTTAAAAGGATATTCTGTACTACACTCCTGACAAAAACAGATCAGATAAAATAAAATAAAAAGCATACTCACTCCTTTTATATGAGATATCCAGCCCAGACAATGCATTGCAAGACTAAGGTGGCTTTTAGAGTTTCCTTTATTCATTTATTCACAAAATATGCACTGATTACTTCCCATGTGGCAGACCTACTAATAGGCACTGTGTTTATGAACTTATCAGATATGACCTTTGATTTGTGAAATTAGAGGCTACTAGGGTAGCAGATGCTCAGGACTAATCAGATTCACATATAATTGCAAATGGTGACAAGAGATAAAAAAAGGCGGAAATTATAAGATGTTAGGGGCTCTACTATAAATGGGAGACTTAATTTTGATGGGGTGTCAAAGATCATTCTGGGGCATGTTTACAGTAAGACCTGAGGAATGAGTAGGGCTTAACTAAGCAATGAATGGAAGAATTTAACTTTGGGATGGAAGGAACAAAACACCTAAAGCAGGAAGAAAAGACTTGGTGCAGTTGTGGAAATGAAACCAGTCCAAGATATTTGGGGGAGAAACTTGCTTGCTGAGGAAGACAGTAGGGGACAATTCCTGTATGTTATTGTGGTCCTTAAGATTTGGAAATTCATTGGTACCTAAACTATCAACATTGGTTATGTGAAATTTTAAACATACTGTCAGAAAGTTGCATATAAAGGCAATACAATATTATTTACAGGAATATTATTATTATTTACAGGATGTTTTATTGCTAGAATCAAGGGAGAGAGGCTTTGTTAACAGGAGTCACCGGTAAGTAATTGAAGCTATCCTAATGTCACATGCAGACTGTAAGATTAGAATTTAAATGCAAGTAGTTTGTTTGAGAGCTGATTCCAGGAAGCATGGTAGGAAAGCAAATGAAGTGAGTCAGATGAGGGAAGAAAGCTGTCACAGGCTGAATAATTGCTCCCAAAGATAGCCCGTTCTAATCCTCAGAACCTGTGAATGTTATCTCATCTGGTAAATATGTCTTTACAGATGTGATCAAGTTAGGGATCTTGAGGTGAAGAGAGTATCCTGGATTATTAGGCTCAACCCTAAATATTGTTACAAGTGTCCTTCTAAGAGGGAAGTAGGTGGAGGTTTGATTACAGAAGAGGAGAAAGCCACATGACTCCAGAAGCAGAGATTGAAATAATGTTCTTGGGAGATAAAGGAAGCAGGCACTAGAAGCTGAAAAGGCAAGAAATAGGTTCTCCTCTATAGCCTCCAGAGGAAGTATGGCTCTGCTAACACCTGCTTTTGGCCTGGTGAACCCTGCTTTGGACTTCGGACCTGCAGAAATGTAAGATAGTAACTTTGTATTGTTTTAAGCCACTGTACAATTTGTTACAGCAGCAGTAGGAAAGAAATACAGAAGCAGACACAGAAGGGCACATTGAAAAGCAGGTTATGGACTGCTAGGGCTCAATGTTATCGGTGATCTCTGGTAGATAGTGAGCGAAAAATACTCCTCAGAGTTTTCCAAGCCCAGTGGCAAGAAGGCTGGAAAATTATCAATCGACACCCATTTATGATATATTGAGGGTGGATTACAGGGATATTAGCTGCCTGACACCTTCGGCACCTTCCTGTAGGGTGCTAACCAAATGTGTCTGAAACCAGAGAAAGTACTCAGGCAGAAAATGGTAGAAGCATGAAACAAGAAACCATTACAATGCATGGAAATGTTTGGGGTCAAGAGTACTGACAATGTCCACCCTTAGAGCCTGGATCTACTCATATCCATGATAAGTTCTCTCTGTTCTTTCATTGACTTTTCAAGCAAGTTGAAGTTCTTTCTTTTCTTTAAAAAAGCCTCAAAACAGAGAGTACAGTGAAATAAACTATCTCTGCTCCTCTAGTTGGTTCCAAAACCATATTTGACTTTTATTATGTGCTTTTTCTAGTACTCATTTTAGATCTCCCTACTCTTAGCTAGCAATTCTGTGGATTTAGGTTTTCTTGTTCAGTAGAGTGACTAAGATCTTCACCCATAAGTTATGTAAACCTTGTTTACTTTGCCCCTGTAAGACTGTGGGTGCTGCAATAGCCTATTCTTGGCTTTGATTGGGCATGGAAGTGCTAAGAGAAGATCCAAGGTATCCCCATAGTTTTAACATTTTCTTCCCTACCTTCATTATGTAGCAGCCACCTTATCTCATTATGACAATCAGAGATTACCCCTAACAATATAATAACTCACTTTTCTTCTTAATAATTTGCAGGCATATAGAATAAAGGAACATCTGTAGCTTTATGTTTTATGAAGTGCATACTATATCAACAGATAGAAGCATTCCTTCACATAGAAAGCACAAAGTTCCTAAGTGGTTCCTGTAGAATTATGTTGAGGGAGGCCAATTCTACTTCCATCTCTTCATTTCCAGACTCATATGTTGTCACTATTAGCAGCACAGTATCATAAAACAGTTATTGCTTCAAAGTATATGCTGCATGTCAAAGAGAGTATCCCAACTATATACAAAGTGCCATCCCCAAACTGATGCCTTAAATTGTGTCTGTAAGACACAATTCCAATGTCCAATTACTCTACACACTTCCAGGTGAAGCAATATATAGTAGGACTGGTAGATTCCATAGTCATGTGCACACTGTCACACCTCTTGTGTGATAAAGTGGGTCCTCTCATCCAGGTTAATATGCTACAGGATCCTGTTTGGTAAATCAGACCTTAGTGAGGCTTTGAAAAATGGTGTTATTTAACAACTCATTGCAGAAAGAAAGGCAAATCCACACCAAGAACACACATAGTCACAGTAAGGACAAATCGCTGCCCACCTTCAGAGCTGAAGGAATCCAAAATAATCCATTACCTCCAAGTGTGTGGTTAATCTCCACAAGTTATAAAACCATATTGAGTTTTATCATCAGTCTCTGACTGTTGACAGTTGATAGGTTAGACTTTCAATGCTGACACTAACCCAATAAACCTTGATTAGAAGGAGCCCATGTTCAGCCTCCATCCCTGCCAACGTGTCAATCCCATTCATAGGCCCATTGTGAAAGCACAAGGGTGGATTATTTCAGAGGCTGGTAGACATCCATGAGGCAAATCATACTGTGTTCTTACTCTGTGGTAGATGCTCTCTGTTGGGTTTTGACATGAGACACAAAGTTGTACACATGGATTTGTCTTTCCTGCCTACAGTGCTTCTCCTAGCACCACCATTCAATACTTTCAGAATGCCTTACCCATGCCATAAGGTCCTATACTACAATGCTTTTAAGTAGAGGTGATTCATGATTACAGAGGAAATGTGGCAATGGGCTCTTTACCAAGGATTTCACTGGTAATTATCAAGGATTTCACCACATCCCTTGTCATGCAGAAACAGCCAACTGTTTGGAAGAACAATAAAATAAACTGCTAGGATTTATTCAATTTTGGAGAAATCTGAGACACATGCTTTCTGATGTTTGGAGGAGCTGTTGTGCAGCTTGTGATATATGCCTTAAACAAATAACTAATATATGGTGCTGTCTCTCTCACAGAGTGTGTGTACAGGTGTGTCAAACATGGTAGAGAGATGAGAGTAGTTGTCTCTCACCATGACCTTTATTTCTGCTAGATTTCTTGCTTCCTTTTCCCATGATCTTCAGTTCGTGGATTTGGTGATCCTAGTCCCCAAGGTGGGGCTTCTTCCACTAGAAAAAACAGTCATGATTCCAACAAATTGGAAGATGAGTCCCCTGGCCTTTCTGGACTCTATGCCAATTATCTAGCTGCTGGGGCGATTAATCCTAATAACTAGAGACAAATTGGCTTGCTGCTAAACAACGAGGAAAAGACTCCTTTTAGAATCCAGGGGATTCCCTAGAGAGTCTCTTAATATTCCCTTGCCCAAATATTACAGTCACTGTAAAATGGTGTTAGCTAAAAAAAAAAGAAAAATAACGCCATGGACACAGATCCTGCAGAGATAAGGTTTGGGTGACTCTATGAGGCAAATGATTTTGTGCAGTGTTGGCAAAGGATAAGGGGAATTCGGGAGATGTGTTGGAAAAAGGAGCTGGGATTACCAAATTTGTCCTCATGGCAAGCGACGGAGTTGTGAACTGTAACAGCTAAGTTTCTGTTTATTTAACTGTTTCTTTCGTCTTTCTTTCCATACTACCCTATATGAAGAATATCAGTTGGACTAATATTGTAGCATTCACATGGAATAATAACTGAATGGATACTCCCTGCAGGTGGGGCTTTTTGAATTCCCTGAACTGATGTTTTACACTTTCACCCAACAAAGTGATGAAAGTGAATGCTAAGAAGCTAAGGGATGCATTGCACTGGATATCTACTGTTTGCCTCACTAGAGGTACTCTCTATTCATTTTTTCATCCTATAAGGCTGACTTACATGGATCCAAATAGACAATGATGTTTTCTCATAATTGTACAGATTTTCTCCTTCAAGATTTCATTAATGTTTTCTTTCTTCATTCCTTTGGCCTGTGATGGAGCGCCCTGTGTTGCTCAACTTTCTTTTGTGATTTCTCTACCCTGGTATCTTCATAAATAGTGTCCTTATTAGTAAATCTCCTTGAATTATCCTATTTCAAGTGTATCAGCAATTGCCTGTTGGGATCCTGACTGATAAAGATGGTGACTGTGGTTTTGGATGTGTCAAATGTGAGTGTTCTGGAAATTAATATTGAGAACATTTCTAAATAGAAGTTTGATAGATGAGTCTGAAGAGGTGGGGAAAAGTCTAGACTGGTGACATACATTTGGAGGTCATCAGCATGTAAGTAGAGGATGAGGTCACTCATGAGGAGCACCAGGCTGATGGTAGAATAACTAGAGACACAGATGATGAGATGACAGGCAGAGGATGAAGATCTCACAAAAGAGGAAAAAATGGCACAGACGTCGAATCATTAAAAGAACTGGGAATGTGCAGCATAATGAGAAGAAACAGGGTGGAGGACTTACGAAAAGGGAAGACCATACTGGGCCCGTGGGCTGGACAATGGTAGCATCCTTTTGGCTGGGATAAATGGCACTTTTATTGTCAGAATCCCTTCTTTTTCTCTTTCTTCCTCTCCCTTGCACTAATTGAAATAGGTATATAGTTATGGCAAAGACTGAGAAGGTGTTTTTCCAATAAAATGACAGACTACCATATTTAACAATTTAGTTTTTTTTTCCCTCACCTGATCAAAGTGAAAGCTTTTGTGGAGGTAGACAAGACAACAATCAGGATGTGATGGTATCAACAATATTTTACAACTCATTATTTTTCCCATGATTTTTCTATAAAGTGGATACAGTCAATGTCAAGATGCAGTATAGAGAGTTAGTACGATCATAATTTTAAAACACAACTTTGTTGTGTATTGCAACTTCAAATTCAACGTCATAGAGGTAATTGCAAAGTCATTAGAAACCCAATAACATTGTAGGGGACAGAAAACACATTAAAGTGTTTGAGGAATGGGTTATAAAAGAAGTAGAGCTATCTTCAAAAAAGATATTTGTTTAGAAGGTTGTTAAGAAAGGAAGAAAAGTGACTAGACACAGTAAAATGACACGGAATTTTGGAAGTTAGTCTCCTTTTTAGGATAAGGAGTATGTCAGTATGTTTTAGTATTGAGAAAAATACAATAAAAAGGGAATAAAATAAAGATACATAAAAGAGATGGAAGACAAAAGAAGAAATGCTCCAGAAAATGGCAAGAGACAAAATCAAGAGAATATGAAGAACAGTTGAACTCGAGTAGAGGGAGAACTTCCTCAACCTCTGGACCTATAAGTCAAGCAATGATGTGGATGCAAATTAATTTATAGGTAGAAGGGCAGAACATTAAAAGTTTATGGTTTCAATTTTCTTATTAAATTCTGTTGTGAGTGAAAAGTGAGCTGCAAAGGAGGCAAAGTACAAACTAGCTGTTGGGGAAGTGGGAGGTGACATTGACCACAGGTATTAAAAGGGTGATAGTAGTGAGGGCTCAAGTGATGGCAGAAAACATGAATTTATAATGGCAATAATCTACTATATGTTTGTGTTTTTCTCTAACAGTCCTCAGAGTTTCTTGTTAACTGTATAGGAGTGAAAAAGGCAATCAATATCACTGTGATTTGGCTGCTAAATATTAAGAAAAGAAAATGTTTGTTTATTCTTGCCTTTCTTTCTTCCCCCCTTTCCCTGTTTGCTTCATTCGCTCTTTCCATCTTTTCTTACCACTTTTATACCTTCCTTCCCCCTTTCACTTCTTTGCCTCTCCTTCTTTTCTTTTTGTCTTCTTTTGTTCTTTTCTTTTTTTCCTCCAACATTGGTGGTGCACCTTTATGTGTCAGATATTGCAATAGCTACAGAAGACACATTTTTCAATATAGTTGCGGTAAAAAGTTTCAAAGAGTAGTTGCTAATGCTCCTCAGCTTGGGAGGCTATTAATCTTTACATAATACCAAGTGGGAAGATAAGAGTGTTTTTATACTTTGAGCTTCTGTTAGTTTTATTTTTTGGGGAGTACAAGAAGTAAGGTTTGGGTTATTCTGAAAGTTTTATCTTTAATAATTTTTGCTAAGGCCTCCTACTCCATCAATACTTTTAAATCTCCATACTGAGACATTTGACAGCTTATGAAATCCCTGCATACTGCTTGCAACCTATTGGGAGTTAATATTATTTCTTTAGAAAAATTATGTAGCCACCTCTGTCAACTATTGCTGCCCTATGGACATGCTAATACTGTGCCATGGTGAAGGCTGGTCTTCTCCTTGAAGTCCTCCACCTCTCTTAGGCTGACTTTGCTTAGTGCTCTTGATTGCATTCATATCTATTTGGAAATGGATATGAATACCTACTTTAGAATTGACCATTCGCCTCTCCCAATTCAAGGGACAAACAAAAAATCTGGCATCCTACCTTCTCACTCAACCTCTGTTGTCAGCACCTTTGTCTGAATAAGGAGAGAAAAGAAAGCCTGAGAGGTGAAAATTTTCTTTTTATCAGGTTACATAATAGGGAGAAATCTATGCAGGTTTGTAGTCAGAGAACTAGAACTTAGAGAAAGGAAAGGGAGAGAGAAAGAAGACAGTAAAACAAATTTAGAGTAACATAGGTGATGCCATCCAATTCTTCAAAGTAAGGAAATAAGGAAGAAAATGAAAGGAAAGAAATCTCCTCTTTCCAAAAACTTTGGGGATTATACATAATTTTCATGACTTGGCTCAGAGACTCAATGGTGACAGCCACAGAGAAGAAGTGAAATGATATATTCTTGACCTTTTGCATTTTCCTCTCCCTGCCCACTCAGAATGATTCTTGTGATGAAATGAAAATTTTTCCTACTGTGAAGTTGAGAACATTAAGTGAAGCAATTCATCTGTATTTCAAAAAGTTAAAATAAATTGTTGAAATGCTGAAAGTATCTTCTAATTCAGTAATATTAAGGTAAGGGATTACTTTCAGTGATGTGAAAGTATAGATGGCCAAACGTATCTGAAGCTCCTATGTTGCCTCTTTCTTGTCCAATGCATGGCTAGTTCCTTAGCTCTGTTTCTTCCTGGTGTGGTTACCTGGCAAATGAATGATGTTTAAAGGAAAAAGAGATCAAGTAATTGTCTCTCACTTTACCTGGTTTTGGTCCTGGTCTCTCACCCACTAAGTTCAGTGACTTCAAAAAAATCTTCGAATGAAAGAAAGAGACTGTCCCCATGGGCTGGACAATGGCAGCATCATTTTGGCTGGGATAAATGGCACTTTTATTACCAGAATCCCTTCTTTTTCTCTTTCTTCCTCTCCCTTGCACTGACTGAAATGTGTATATAGTTATGGCAAGGACTGAGAAGGGGTTTTTCTAATAAAATGACAGACTACCGTATTTAACAACTTAGGTTTTTTTTTTTTCCCTCACCCAATCAAAGTGAAAGCTTTTGTGGAAGTAGACAAGACAACAATCAGGATGTGGTAGTATCAATAATATTTTACAACTTATTATTTTTCCTGTGATTTTTCTATAAAGTGGATACAGTTTGCTTTGTCAAACTAGAATGTGCATATAAACTGTGTTGACAGACACACACTGAGTCTCACTTATGAGTTTAACGCTGCTTTAGAGCAGTCTGAGTGGTGAGGGAACCTAAAGAACAAACAACAGGAACATAGTCTGCATACAATCCTTTTCCTCGGGAATTTTTTTTTTTCTTTTTGGAAATTGCTGCAAAGTTACACAAATCAACAGTAGCGCATTGATAGAAGAAAAATTCTTTGGAGTTGCTACCAGCACAGTGTTCGGGCCATAAAATGTGATATAATTGATTCATGCAGCCCTTGCTGCTTTCTAGCATCATTATGTATATTTATATATTTATATGTGAAGAACAATTGAATGAATGCCACTGACAAATGATTCACTCTATTTTCTTGTATTGGTTTCCTTCTTGTGCCCTCATTTTTTTAGTTTGTGTCTGTGTAGTATAACCTATATAAGCTGTCACAGCTGTTTGTCAGTTCTTTCTAACAGCCTTTCCTTTCTGAGAGAAGACTAGATCATTCTGGATACTTGGCTCCTCACAGATGTCTGGAATTCCATCCAAGACTCCCTGTCTTGGCAATGAATGACTTTTCTTTCAACTGGTTGAAATATAACTTTGAGAAGTGATTAGTTTCGGAAATGACATCTCAATGAATCATCCAAGGCTTGGATATTCTACCTTGAGTAACTTTGCACATACAAAAAAACAAAAACAAAAAACAAAAAACAGACTAATAGGCAAGATACAGCTTTAGTTTTCTATTAACAGAGCTACCCAGGAATAGCCCAAAACAGCAGGAAAGATTTTCTAACATTTATCCAACATTGTTGCTTATTTGATTGAAAGGGTAAGTGAGTTTTTGGAAGACTGTCTTACCTAGTATATAGGTAAGTTTAAATTTTTTTTTTGTGAGGAAGCTCTGGAGGAAACAGGGCAGGTTATATTCATTTTTAAAAATTCCCAGCACATGGTTGACATGTAATTCTGTTTGGATAATAAGGGTTAAACATGACGGAATGCCAGCATTTGCATCCACTCACTCTTGGAACTGCAGTATAATGACATTAAAAGAATTTTAGATGGCTTGAAGCTACCAAAAAAAAAAAAAAAAAGAACAGAAGAGGAGAGATTTTAAGCAGCAAAAATAGATGCTTATGCAGTAGTTAATTTAGCTGACAGAAAAATTAAAACCAAAACTGGCTTGTAGAGAAAGTTTCAGCCCCAACCACTGGCCTTGGGAAGGGGAACAGGTTGGGGGCTGGTGATTAGCTCTATAAAAACTCTCAAACATTGGGATTTGATGAGCTTCTGAGTTGGTGAATGTGTCCATGTGCTGGAAGGGTGAACACCCTAACTCCATGGACAGAAGCTCCTGTGCTTAGGACCCTATGGATTTTGCCCTATCTACTCTGTCACCTTGCCCTTTATCTGAAGGGATGAAAAGAAATGCATATGTTCAAGCCTGTTTAAAAAAAGAGTCAGAAGTGGTTGTTTCCCACTAGGCAATGCCAGAAATTCTCAGCAATTGACAACAGCAATAACCTTTATAAAAGGGGATGGTGGTGGTGGAGGAGGGGAAATAGGACTGAAAACATTAAAAAGCTTCTGCACAGCAAAAGAAATAATCATCAGAGTAAACAGACAACCCATAGAATAGGAGAAAATATTTTCAGACTATGCATCTGGTAAAGGACAGGTATCCAGAATCTATTATACAAGGAACTGAAACATATCAGCAAGAAAAAAAAAAACAACAAGTAATCACATCAAAAAGTGGGCAAAGGACATATAGACATTTCACAAAAGAAGATATACAAATGTCCAACAAATATATGAAAAAGTGCTCAACATCACAAATCATGAGGGAGATGCAAATTAAAACCACAACGAGATACCACTTTATTCCTGCAAGAATGGCCATTATCAAGAAGTCCAAAAACAATAGATGTTGATGTGGATGTGGTGAAAGGGGAACACATACACTGCTGGTGGGAATGTAAATTAGTGCAACCTCTATGGAAAACAGTATGGAGATTCCTTAAAGAACCAAAGTAGATCTACCATTTGATCCAGCAACCCTACTCCTGGGTATCTACCAAATGAAAAGAAGTTATTAATGAAAAAGACACATGCACATATATGTTCATTGCAGCCCAGTTCACAACTGCAAAGATATGGAACCAACCTAAGTGCCTGTCGACTGACAAGTGGATAAATGAAATTATATATGTGTATATATATATATAATTTTTTACTGAGCCAACCCTAGCCCCACTCTATTGAAAGAAAGGCTAAAGGGAAGAGACCATTTTTTTCAATGATGTTTGTTTAATTAAAACTTTAAATTTTATTTCATGAATATTTTAGTTATTTATAGACTAGGTAATATAAATAGTACAAAGTATTTATTTCAAAGACAACCACTAATACCAGTTGTTTTATAAATACTCTAGACATATTATATGTGTATATGTACACATATACATATGTATATATATTATATATATATATAGCAGTAGTTAATAATGAGATTTTCTAACATTTATCCAACATTGTTGCTTATTTGATTGAAAGGGTTTTATATATATACATATACACACACAACATATATATACACACATATATATATACACACACAACATATATATACACATATACACACACACACACACCATGGAATGCTATTCAGCCATAAAAAAGAATGAAATAATGTCTTTTGTGGCAATTTGGATGAAGCTGCAAAGTGAAGTAACCCAGGAATGGAAAAACAAAAACCATACATTCTCGCTTATAAGTGGGAGCTAGGCTATGAGTACGCAAAAGCATGCAGAGTTGATATAACGCCCTTTGGAGGCTTAGAAGGGGGAGAGAGAGAGGAGGGTATAGGATTAAAAATTACATACTGGGTACAACGTGTACTACTTGGGTGATGGTTATACTAGAATTTCAGAATTCACCACCACTGTGTAATTCACCCATGTAACCAAAACCACTTGCACCCCAAAAGCTATTGAAATAAAAACATATATATAATAAAAAAAAGAACTGTTTGAAAGTCTCTATATAAAGCAGTTCAAGCAATTGGCCCCCCTGCCGCCCACCCCACCCCCGGTATCACAGTTGTCACTCTAAAAACTGGGTGAATGCACCTACCCCAGGCCTGCAGAGACTCTGGAGGGACAAAGAACCTTAGGGACAATGAATTCAGAAACACACATTCCATGCTGATAAGTGGATTCAAACGGGGATTGGGAAACGTAATTCCTGCTGGCTGGGAGTGATAGCTCCATTGTGGGAGGTAAGCAAGAATTTTGGGCTATGCACCATCTCTGCCTCATTATGATAAACACTAACCTTAAGGAACTTTGTGAATAGGACAAGTTACTTGCTGTGGAATAATACTGATTTTTGGTTTCACTTTATTCAGTGGAAACTCCCAAATCAAGTTATTTCAGTTTAGGCATTTTGACTGGTGATCCCATCAACCTCATAATAAATGTCTGAATTTTCAAATATGTCCCAAAATACAGGGGGTTATCTCTTTATTCTGCACGACCACTAGGCCCTGTGCACTAAAATCTTGCTAGTTATCTGTGACAATCTGTAATACGAGAAACTTTAGAAATCCCTTAAGACTTTCAGGGATCTAGCATATGGTATGATGTAAATGTGTTTATGTAGTTAGTTTCCTTTGAGCTGCAGTCTTTAACTATTTCTTTAACTCTGGAGCAGACATGTTTTGTACCATGCACCACAGCTGCTTGGCCCACATGTGATTTCAGAAGCAGTTGTGGTGGGATGTTCCCGTGCACAATGGCGGCTTCCCACCTCAAGCCCTTGCTGTGTTTCTTAGCATTTTCTGAAGCCCTGGACAGTTCACTTAGCCCCAAAATTGGGCAGCTTGGAGGTGCAAGGAGTTAATGCCCTTTGGGCAACCTTAACCAGTAAGGCACTAGAATGGATAGATAAATTTCTCAATCACCCATCTATCAGAGGAACAAATCAGAGAGGTGGTCTACACAGTTTCTCAGAGGATCTCACTTGGGATTGACACCCAGATGCTCTAAGTGGTAACCAGCTTAGTACCACAGCCTTAATTAGCTTTCTTCCTATCCCCGTGTCACATTTCATGGCCCCTCACTTCTGTTTCCTGAGACCACTTCCTATATACAACACTTGCATTGAGATTCTTGTCTTAGGCTCTGCTTTGGAGAAAAATCAAACTTAAACAATTCCCATCAAAACATTTGTTATGTCGTGATGAAAACTCTATTTGTTGCCCCAGTTCCACTCCCCTATAGAGAGGAGGGAAACAGGTGATTAGAATTCTGCAAATACATGTTTAGCTTTTTATTGAGCCAACCCTAGCCCCAATCTATTGAAAGAAAGGCTAAAGGGAAGAGACCTTTTTTTAATGATGTTTAATTAAAACTTTAAATTTTATTTCACAAATATTTTAGTTATTTATAGAATAGGTAATATAAATAGTACAAAGTATTTATTTCAAAGACAACCACTAATACCAATTGTTTTGTAAATACTCTAGACATATTATATGTGTATATGTACACATATATCACTATGTATCATAATATACCTATAATATATGTAATATCTAGTAGTATTATATAATGTTATATATAAATGCATATCCAATATATAATCAGTAATAGTAACAACCCTTATCTGCCTTAGGAGTGGTATGGGTAACATGATTACTAGCATTTATAAGAGATAAAACCTTTTGTATTTTTGATTATTGATTCATAATAAGACAGTAATTTTAGAAGCTAGCACTTTGTATTAATTTAAATGCTGGTAATTACAATACATTGTAAAGTGGGCCTACAGTAGCAAAGGAGAATGGTTAGAGATGTGATCACCCCCACAGAGATGCCTGTAGCACTTGGAGATTCCAGAATGAAAGGGCTGCCTCGTTCTTTGCTCTTTTCAGAAATGATGGCAGTTGGGTTTGGGAACTTTGCTGATGTGCACAGAATGTTAACCTAAAGAACCAGAGGAATTAAAAAAGAGTCTCTGACAAACATAAATTTCCCAACTTTTTTTTTTCATTTTTCTGCATCTTCTCCTGGCCTTGGAGTCTGGAACACCTTTCATTTTTTTTTTTCCTTTAATGTACAGATTGGCAGACCCCTAACCAGAAAATATTTCAAATTTTATGGCTCTATTTTTTCTGGAGCTGATCTCTTCCTGCCTAAGAGAGACTATTCATCATCCCAACCAGCTTCACATTGCACTACTCACTCTCACACAGAGAAAAGAGCAGAGGAACACTGAGAAAGAAAGGCTAAAGGGAAGAGACCTTTTTTTCAATGATGTTTGTTTAATTAAAACTTTAAATTTTATTTCATGAATATTTTAGTTATTTATAGAATAGGTAATATAAATAGTTCAAAGTATTTATTTCAAAGACAACCACTAATACCAGTTGTTTTCTAAATACTCTAGACATATGTGTATATGTACACATATATCACTATGTATCATAATATGCCTATAGTATATGTAATATCTAATGGTATCATATAATGTTATATAAAAATGCATATCCAATATGTAATCAGTAATAGTAACATATATGCATACTGTTCTATCTGCTCTGTTTCTTGTTTTTTCCACTTAGGGTATCTTAGCGATTTTCCATGGTAAAAATATGTAACACTATCATTATTTTTAATGTCTTCATAGTACCTAGTTTAGGAATATGCCATTAAACGTTTTACCAACCTTCAGTGTAGGAGTTCAGTATGGATCTTTGCATTTTTTGTCAATCTTTTTCTAATGGAAACAATGTTATAACAGCTATCCTTCTCTGTATCCCATTTTCCCTGTATGTTACCAAATCTGCTATAAAGTCCTAGTAGAATTGATGAAAGAAAGAGTTTGGAAATTTATAATTTTGATAACAATTATGACATTCCTATTCTTAGAGTGTTATTAATTTCAACTCTTATAAGTTATGTTTGAGTTTCATTAATTGATTAGTAAGATTCTTATACATAAGGAAATTAACTTTAAGTTGGTGATATGTTGTAATTTTTTCTTGTTTCCCATTTGTCTTTTGATTTTTTGATTATTTCCAGAAAATGTAAATTTGTATGCAGTTAAAAGTATCTTTTCTTTTATGTTTCTGAGTTTTGCAACATCCTCCAGAAAGGCTTCTCTTTTCTAAGATTATATTTTTATGCTTTATTTTAGTACTTTTAGGGTATGCTTATGTTTAAGTCTTTGAGCTATTTGGAATTGACTTTGTGTAAGGCATGAGTTAGAAAAACAACTTATTTTTTTCTATGTATTTGGCAAGTGATCTGAACTCCTTTATTAAATAATCCATATTCCCCATATGTATCTGAAATACTATTTTTATTATACTAAATTACTACATGCATTAGATCTAATTATAGATTTTGTTATCTCTCTTTTATTGACCTATTTTGCTCATTGTGCATAAATATCCATTTTTAATTACTATAATTTTATAAAAGATTTTAGTATCTAGACAACCAGTCTCTCCCCAACCCTTATTACCAGCCTTATCTTGGTTATTCTTGCAACACACACACACACATACACACACACACACATTTTAGAAGTGCCTGGTTTTATTTTTTAAAAGTGATATTATTGGGTTCATATTATTTGTTAATTTAGATAAGGGATATCCTTATGATATCAAGGGTTCTAATTCAAGAATGGTATTGTTTTTCATCTTCTGTGTCTCTTGGTAATATTGTAAAGTTACCATTTTATTCAGATCTCATATATTTCTTAAGTACATCTCTAGGTGTTTTATCATTTTGATAGTAGTTATATTTGGCATTTTCTTCCTTTAGCTTCTATTTGGTTGTCTGACTCCATGAAGACTATTGATTTCTTGATATTAATTTCATATTCAGGTGTCATAATAATTCCTCATAAAATTTGTAATAGTTTTTCAGTTGATTTCATTGGCCTTTCCCAGCAAATAATAATATTATTTACAAATAGTGATAATTTTATTTATTCTTGTCCAATTTTTATGTCTCATGTGCTTCTTCCCCTGAATTTGTTGGCTGGTAGTTGTAGAATAAAGCTTAAAAATAGAGGTGAAGAGGATATCCTTTTGCATGTTGAGTATTTTTTTTTCTTTCACTTCTTTTTTCAAATTTTTTACTCTATTTTTTTGTAAATAATTCAGAAATAATTTATTTTTTGAGATGGAGTCTTGCTCTGTCACCCAGGCTGGAGTGCAGTGGCGCCATCTCGGCTTACTGCAAGCTCCGCCTCCCGGGTTCACGCCATACCCCTGCCTCAGCCTCCCAAGTAGCTGGGACTACAGGCACCCGCCACCACGCGCGGCTAATTGTTTGTATATTTAGTAAAGATGGGGTTTCATCATGTTAGCCAGGATGGTCTCCATCTCCTGACCTCGTGATCCACTCACCTCGGCCTCCCAAAGTGCTGGGATTACAGGCGTGAGCCACTGCACACCACGCCTGGCCTTTTTTTTTTTTTTTCATATTTTTAGTAGAGACGTGGTTTTACCGTGTTAGCCAGGATTGTCTCGATTTCCTGACCTTGTGATCTGCCCACCTCGGCCTCCCAAAGTGCTGGGATTACAGGCGTGAGCCACCACGCCCAGCCAGAAATAATTTTTATAGAAAATAATAATTTTCTTCCTAAAACATAGGCATCCTTATCTTATTGAGGTGTTAATTAGATATTAGATTTAAATTTAACAAACGTTAAATTTAAAGTTTATTTAAAGTTATGGCTTTACTGTAGACCACCAGTTTTTACTGTTAACATGGTAACATTTTGTTAGTAAGTACACTTTGCTTGGCATTTTCTCCCTGTTTCTTCTGTTCTCTGTTTTAGAAATCTTTCCAGCCTCTTCTCTGGTTTGTTTCTAATTGATATACTCTTGTGAATGAGGTGAAATTTTTTTGTATCAGCTACTTGCAACATGTCCATGTGGAGATGGGGACAGGGTTGTATTCCCTGTAGCAGGAATTTTCCCCATAACCTATGGTTATCCGTAGGTGAATTCTTTTCACTTGTATGTCACCCCAGCTCACTGATGTTGGCACTTAGGCACCTCCTAATGCAGTCTTTCTCCTTCTCTGTCCAACTGACAAATGGTGTTCTGCAAATTGGTTATATTATTTGGATCCTTGCTCAGTGCCATTTTCTCTGCTTCTTAAAATCAGATGACAGACTATATACAGGTAGTCTTCCTCCACCTCCTTGCTTCCCTGTTGTTCCAAACAAAATATTATGGATCTTGAATATTAAATGTTTCCCTTGTTTAGAGAGTTACAGTCTGAAACTTTCTCAGCTGCTTTCTAGCATTCTCTCTCAAGTTTTTCTGTATCCTACTTGAACTTCGCTGCTTTCAACAACCCTTCATCAAATTGTGTAGTTTTAGTTTGTGGAAATCTTCTAGTTTTATTGAAATTGGAGTTTGCATTTCTGTTTATCTTTTTCATTATTTTGGATGATTTCTAAAACAGAATAGGGGAGGGGGGAGAAATTATCTTATTAATGTGTTGTTATAAAAATATCCAGAATCTACAAGGAACTTAAACGAATTTACAAGAAAAAAACAAACAGCTCCATCAAAAAGTGGGCGAAGGATATGAACAGACACTTCTCAAAAAAAGACATTTATGTGGCCAACAAACATATGAAAAAAAGATCATCATAACTAGTCATTAGAGAAATGCAAATCAAAACAACAATGAGATACCATCTGAGGCCAGTTAGAATGGCGATCATTAAAAAGTTAGGAAATGGCCAGCTGCAGTGGTTCACGCCTGTAATCCCAGCAGTTGGGGAGGCCAAGGCGGGTGGATCACGAGGTCAGGAGATTGAGACCATCCTGGCTATCGCGGTGAAACCCCGTCTCTACTAAAAATACAGAAACAAAATTAGCTGGGCATGGTGGTGGGTGCCTGTAGTCCCAGCTACTCAGGAGGCTGAGGCAGGAGAATGGCATGAACCCGGGAGGCGGAGCTTGCAGTGAGCCAAGATTGTACAACTGCACTCCAGCCTGGGTGACAGAGTGAGACTCCATCTCAAAAAAAAAAAAAAAAAGTTAGGAAACAACAGACTCTGGAAAGGATGTGGAGAAATAGGAATGCTTTTACACTGTTGGTGGGAGTGTAAATTAGTTCAACCATTGTGGAAGACAGTGTGGCGATTCCTCAAGGATCTAGAACCGGAAATACTGTTTGACCCAGCAATCCCATTACTGAGTATATACCCAAAGAATTACAAATCATTCTACTACAAAGACACATGCACACGTATGTTTATTGCAGCATTATTCACAATAGCAAAGACTTAGAACCAACCCAAATGCCCATCAATGATAGACTGGATAAAGAAAATATGGCACATATACACCATGGAATACTATGCAGCCATAAAAAAGGATGAGTTCATGTCCTTTGCCGGGACATGGATGAAGCTGGAAACCATCATTCTCAGCAAACTAATACAGGAACAGAAAACCAAACACCGCATGTTCTCACTCATAAGTGGGAGGTGAGCAATGAGAACACATGGACACAGGGAGGGGAACATTACACACCAGGGCCTGTCTGGAGTGAGGGGCTAGAGGAGGGATAGCATTAGGAGACATACCTAATGTTGATGATGGTTTGATGGGTGCAGCAAACCACCAGGCACGTGTATACCTATGTAACAAACCTGCATGTTCTGCACATGTATCCTAAAACTTAAAGTATAATAAAAATAAATCACTAAATAAGTAAATAAATGAATAAATGTAAGTAAAATCAAATTTTGAAATAAAAAATAAAAATAAAAATATCTATACTATTTTGGAAATTCAATTTTTCTAAGGACTTACTACTTCATAATATCTACTAAATCCAATTTAACTTATTTCTTTAGTTTCTCAGTCTTGGCTATAATCAAATTTCAGGACCAGTTATGTTTAAACCTTGGTAAACATACTTTAGACATACGTAAAGACATACTTTAGGTGAACAGTTGCAGGACAACTTGGAGGCACCGTGTTGCACATGGGAGAAAGAATGTGTAATAAGTAGAAGTAAGGAGTGTATACTACGTTGTTTTCATTCCAGGATTAAACTAGAACTTTGATATTGTGCATATATGTATGTAATTTATTTGGTTACAATAGTTTTATAATTTTGTGATGTTATATACTGTAATTTATAATATTAGACTTGTTCAGAGCTGTTCAAATAAGAAGAAAAAGTAACGGTTCTTTCAGTTAAACAAAAATCAGAAATAATGGCTATAAAAGTCACTATCAAATAATAATTTAATGCAATTGCCAGTGTTTCATAAGTTCAGTTCTCCAGGCTGAGAAAACATATTATCAGGAATTATTCTGAAGAAGTTATCAGATTAATTGTGCCATCATTACCTTTATTGGTGTCTCTAAATTAGTACATTAGAATGTTAATTTCAAAAGCAAACTAAAATTAAGTGAGTCCTTTGTTGAGGCATATCAACCCTTTTATTCAAAGTTGAATCTAAACTATTCTAAGTTGTAGACTGAATTTCTAGGCACATTTAATAAGGCAAGGATAAATTTTGCCTTGATTTCTGCTCTTTTGATAAAGTTATCTAGTCTTATTAAGCACATAAAATCTGCTTACTGGTGGAAAATACTTTTAAAAAGCAAAATGAAATACATTTGATAAAAGTACTTATCAGGAATTAGTTGGTAAATGTCACCATAGAATTCTACACATATTACATAATTAATAGAAATTACTTTGCAAAGAATCCCCTAATAACCCAATTACTTATTGACAATTTGACTTTAAGCACTGCTTGCTGAATTGAAGTAAAAATTTACAATGTCAGAAAATGATAGTTAGAATTTATTAATAATTTCATCTAGATGAGAAGTAAATTACAAAATATAGCCATGATACCTACCAAAATATGAATAAATTGTTCTATAATAGCAATAATCCATTATGTACAGAGCTAAAAGAAGCAATATACAAACTGGAAAGAACATGGGCTTCTAATACAGATTTATCTGTGCTCAAATTCCCGCATCCTGCTTCATTTCCTATAGGGAATGTGACCTTGGTCAAGTTACTTGACAGTCTCTTTATTTTTGATTTTGTGATAATTGTTGCCATCTAACAGCATTCTTAGGAAAGGTACAAATATTAGACCATTCCAGTTTGAAAACAAGGTTTGGGCAAAGGAAGGAGTCAAGCACCTATCACGATATGTTGACATTTACATTATTGTGGGACTCAGTATTACAGGGTTTTACAGTAATTTATTTCCCATTTGTCTTTACTATTTTATCTTCATTCTTCATTAGTTCAAAACTTTAGCAAAAAAGAAGTGATATTTATGAGACCCCTGAAAAGCTAAATAGAAAAAAACAGCAACAGTTAAAATTAGGACAATAGGCTGAGGAGGCTCAAATTCTGGCTTTACCACCCACCACATGGGGCAGTTACTTAACAAATCTGTGCTTTAATTCCCTCCTCTATCAAATAGGGATAACAATAGTAGCTATCTTCTTGTGGCTTATTACATATAACAGTGAACAGTCCTAACTTACAAAGCTTATTTGTTCTGTGGAAAAGTAAGGAAAACCATTAATTGTACTGAGAATATTAGGAGAGCTTTAGTTTTACAAAGAGGAATTCGACCATGGGCCTCCCAGGACAAAGTTGTAAGCAACAATTGTATGGATGTTCATTTAACGTTTGAGGTTTGCAGCACCAGACCATCAACCACAGACTAATCTAAAAGTCCTCTTTTAGATTAGAGAAATTTTGGAGTTTTGGTGCCAGGGAGTCTATCAAAGCAGTGGATATCTGCTTCACTAATAGTCTGACAATTCATGAGTTACAGAATAGTAATAACCATCATAAAAAGTACTATTCCAAGAAACAAGAAGAAAAAACAATTCAGGCAAAACTAATAGTTCCGGTCATCCATATTCCATCTGAGCATCTTGTACTTGAATTGTGTTAAAGAGCACTTACTAAGGGAAATGATAATAAGTGTTTTGAATAAACTACATTGAAGTTCTACTATGTCACAGCAAGAGTAGAAATGAAGGAAATATTCCACTTGTTAAGTATCTTCTCATCTAAAATAGTAAACACATGTGCCAAATGTAGCACAATATTTCACTAGAATTCAAAACTAGACATATAATACTCTTTATTCCTGGAAGTAAAGTGGTCTTTATCATTATTCAGCTTTCATTAAACAGAGAAAACTCCACCTGAGATCTCAATTCAGCATCTAAAGAAAATGTCCTGTGGATATTCTTAGGGCCTTAAGGTCTCAAGTAGGCCTTAGAGAAACATCTGCCTTTTAATTTTAACCTGTGTACTTGGGATATGAGTCCTTTGTCAGATTTGTGTATTGCAAATATCTTCTTTCAGTATGTGCTTATCTTTTTATTCCCTTAATGGTGTTTCTGATGAGCAGAATTTCTCTTTAAAAAGTTTGTAGTTTTAATGATGTTCAATTTATCATTCTTTTCTTTATGATTAGTGCTGTTTAGTGTGCTGTTTAAGAAATTGTTGCTTCCTCAAGGCAAAGGAAGAGAATGCCAATATGAATTCATCTGAAGCATAATTTTGTCTGATATATGACATATAAGCAAAAGTACTATCATTTAATCAATCTTGTTGTCACCACATAATTCCCATTTTATTAGAAACAAATTATCAATGTAAGAAGTCATGAATTCTATTATTTTCCTGACAGCAATACACACTTAAGTAGCTAATATGCACAGAATACTCTGAAAATTCATATAAAATATTTTATTTTTATATTGAACTAAAAATTAGTCTAAAAAGTTTTAGAAAGTTTTTATATATATAATAATTCAAAAATCTACCTTTCTGAGCCTTCTAACCTATTGGTGCTGGCTCTTTTCTGCGATACTTCATGAGACATCTAATTTTTTTCTCTATGTACCCATTCTCCAGGTACTTAGAGGTGGCTATCATCTTCTTACTAAGGCTTTGCTTTTAAAGAGCATCACACACCTAAGTAAAAGAGAGCAATTAGTTTTGAGGTGATCAGGGAAGAGAGCCAGCAGGTACAGAAAACCAAAAAACAGACATCACCTTCTTTCTTTCTAACACATCTCTCATACAGAACTCTTTGCAAATTCATTGGGTTTCCTGTTCTTATAGACACAGTAATCCATTAATACCATGGATTTGTGTAGAACAATACCAAATCAGATCTAGAGCTTAGAGGTCATTTCAGAAATTTAAGTGATTTAAGAAACCCTGGAACTCATCTGACTTAGAAATGTGTAATCACTAAGCACAAATGTTTGAAGGATGTTTTCTTGGGAGGTTTCCACTTTTATATAAGGGTGAAAAAGGTACAGGGGTAATGAAGCCGAGGTGTGAGAATCCGTTGAGCCCAGGAGTTCAAGGCTACAGTGAGCTATGATCACAGCACTGCACTGTAGCCTGGGCAATAGAGTAAGAAACTGTAAGAAGAAGAAGTAGAAGGAGAAGAAGAAGAAGAAGAGGAAGAAGGTAGAATCATTAAACTCATACAGGAGAGTTTATAAAAACAGCAACAACGTCAGTGGCTACAGAGAGTCAGTTGAGTTGAAGCCTGACAAAAGGTCTCGGTATTTGTTGACTTTTAATTCATTGGTGCAGGTATACAATTTTAGTAAAGTGAGGAATTAAAAACTATATATTAGAGGGTTAATAATAAACTAGAATACTTATCATGGGTATAAAAACCTTTTCTTTTTAATGGTAATGGAAAAATCTTGAAGCCTGGAGTATCTAAAAGTGATAATGTGAGGGCTGTTAGCTCACTGGTAAGAGAAAAAGTGTTGAGATCTGTGGTTGTGTTGAGAAATTTGTGCTTAAACATGAAAAAAGTGATACTTAAATTGTAGAAAAAGATTGGCAATGATGAGAAATGTTTTTATATTCACTCGAGGGTGCTGTCTACTTTGTGGAAGGTTGCCACTTTACATTTTGCCAATCATCTGAGGAGTTGCATACAGAAACCTGAGCTAACTTCTACAAATTTCTGATATTCACACTGTGCTTTGTTGCCCTTACAGATCAGTTTGGCTGAAAGTTTCCTTCAGTTACCCCTGGACCATTTGTAAACATATGAATAAAAAATAGGGTAACCTAGAAAAGGAAGAGGTTCAAGAAAATATGGGAAGATACGGTACTTAGAAACTAGGAAAAGTAGGGCTTAGCCTTAGAAAATAAACTTTGAATCGGAAAACACACGAAAAACAAGAGCAAATGAGATAAAGATTGAGCTACAGAGATATGTAAAGGCTAGAAAAAGAGGGAAAAATATAACTATTTAATAGCACCAACCTCGTTGTAGAGTAAGGAAAGTTGATAGTTAATAATTTAAGAAAAGAATGATCAGTTATATTTAGTTTGGAGAAAAGTGAAGATAATAATTTGCAGTAGTGATTTTAATGATCATAATAATCATGTTATAAATAAAAGGACATAGGTAACAATTATATTAGTGATTAAAAGAAAGTGCATTAATACCATGGATTTGTGTAGAACAATACCAAGGCACACACACATGTAATTAGGTAATAAAAGGATTATTCTGTTGGACCCTAGGCATGAAAGCATTCTGTTTTCTGCCAGCTAACCCTGAGTCAGGATTTTCTCTGATGCATAATCAATCCAAGATTGAAGGTCGATTATTCAGGAGAGACCAAGTTTCCTCACAGCAGGAGATATTTACGTTCTCCAAATATGGTGAGGTTTCTGGAAGTATTCCTCTTCTTGTCACCCAGTTCTTTAAACTTGGGGACTTTCTAAAACGTTGTCAATCCAGACTAGGAGTCAGTCCTTCCTTATCAAATAAGGTGGTATTTTAAAAAAACAGACATCACCTTCTTTCTTTCTAACACATCCCACATATAGAACTCTTTGCAAAGTCATCTGGTTTCCTGTTCTTCTAAACGTATCATTTCAAATTTACATTACTTCTTTTAAGAATTACTTAGAATAACTTTTATCCTTTTATATAGTGTATAGAGAGGGGACCTTTCAGAAGTTAAGAATTTAAGTGTTAATTTGAGAGCCCAATTCATGACTGTTTCCAAGATACTAGAAAGACTGAATTAAACTAGATACTAGAAACTAGATAGACTCTGGTTTATTTTATGTAGGCCTACAATATGTCATTGAGTTGGCTTACAAGTGAAACAACTACAATCTTCAGGGAAATTTGGAATTCAGTATAATGTTTGCTGACATTTTTCATGAATGTGGAAGGAGGATACTGCCTCTCTTCTTCCCTGATCTTTCTTAGTGCTGACTGGTAGCTTTTCCTAGGCCTAATTTGATTTTCTATACTGCGGCTGTCCTCCATGCCTATTCCAGAAAAGGGTCCCATCCCTGTAGAGGAATGAGATTTTTTTTTTTGTTCACTATTCTATGCTATCTATCAATAAATGTACATGTGAGATTTTAAGCAGTTGGTTTGGGCTATTTACTAAGAATCCAATTAATCACACAACAGACATTTATGGAGTTCCTGTTAGATCTCAAGACTAAGGAGCAACTAGGTGGAGAGAAGAGGTACTAGTCTAGGTGCGAAGCATGACAGACAAATCATGACTTTCTTGAAACTTAATAGAAAATGGGCCAGAGAATTTTAAATGATTGGTATGCTATGAAGACAATAAACAGGGTAATGGGATAGAGTGAGTGGGAGAAGCTATGTTAGACTTGGAAATCTGAGAAAACCATTCTATGAAATTGTTGAAACCTAAATGATTAGAAGGAGTCAGTCCTGTGAATGTCTGAGAGAAGAATCTTGTGAGAGGAAGGAAAGGTGAGTGCACATGCCCTAATGTGGGATCAATTTTGGTATATTCCAAGAACAGGAAGTGATTGGTGTGGGTAGAGGAATGCGGAAGAAGAGAAAGGTATGAGAAGGTTGGGCAGGTGAGCAAAGGCCAGTTCTCAGTGCATATGAAAAGTTGGAATTCTATTCTAGGTGCCGCTGAGAACCACTGTCAAATTTTGAGCAAGAAAATTGTATGATCTAATTTTATTGCAAAATGATTATTCTGGATGCCATGTGCAGAATGCAGGAAACAGCTGCTGCAGATAGACCAGTTTAGAGACTCTGCCTATAGTCTATGTGATCAAATTATGGAGACTTGTACAGGAAGGTGGTAACGCAGATAACAGACAATGGTAGATGCAGAATTTATTTTAGAGTTGGATTGGATTGCTTTGTTGATTATATAGAGAGAATGAAGGAAAAAGACAACTCAAGATTGATTCCTGGAAGTTTGGCTCTAGAAACCAAGTGAATGATGGCATGTATTCCTAGAGACAAGGATTCAGGATGACTTTCTAATGATCCAAGATTCTGATTTTTGCAGATCTAAAATATTATCCCGGGCGTAATCTCAGGACTCATGGAGAGCCTTCTCCTCCAGCTTCTCTAATCATTTGGACAGCACATAATTCCTTGTGTTACATCTCCTTGTCTTTCAGATGCCACAGTGATTTCTATTTCTTGCACCTGAACTCTGATAATGTGAACTTGAGGAAAAAAAAGAGTTTAACTCCATTGAAGACAAGAGAAAATAGTGTTTTCAAATTGTTGACCCTGTTGAATGCTGTTGAGAGACCAAGTGAAATAAATAAAATATGTGGTCTTTGGTTATGTAACGTGAAGGAAATTAGGGATGATGGTAACTATAGTCCAATAGAAGACTGGAAAGAGAAACCCAAGAGGATTATGTCAAGGAGGCATAAGAAGTCCGAGAAAAGCTATACAAATTAAACCTTTTAAGTAGTTTTGTTGTGACAGGGAGCAGAGAAAGGTTAGAGTAGCTAGATGTGAACAAGGGTCTAAAGAAGGACATGCTTTGGGCGAAGATACTTAATGTATCAGTTATTTTACTGTTGGCTGTAACATACAATTGAAGTTGGCTTAAGCAATAAAGAACATTGAATGGTTCATGTACCTGAAAAAGTCCAGAATTGGGGGCTCCAACTATATTTTTCTTCAGCTCTCAGTTCTGCAGTTTTCGATATTTTTCTATGCACTCAGTTTCGGCTTTTATCATAATAACAAAACAATAGTATCTGATCTTTTTTATCTTCACAGCATACATTTCAGAGTGAGAGGAAACAAAAGTCCCAACATTTACCCTGATTGGAGCCACATAAATTGAACATAATTTCCAGAGGGATTTCATGAACTAAAATGGCTGAGGTCTTGGTTCTTTTCACATCCCCAAACAGTAACTGTGTATAAGCGAATAATATGACCTGAATTGCTTACACTCTGAAGGTGAAGGTAGGGTTCAATCTCATCCAACATTTGACTGATGGACAATGGGGGTGGAAAGAATGATTAAGTTTCACAACCCAGTACATTTGTTGTGTGTGGTGGAAAAGAAGCTACAGGAAGAAATTAATGATAGAAGAGACAGTAGAGGTCATTTGTGTATAAGGCTTTCGAAACCTAAGAAGGGTGCTCCAGAGCACAGGGGCAGGGGCTGGCATGGAATGGGACAAGGCTTTCTTTATTCACTAGGTTAGGAGAAAGGGAGAAATGGTGGCTGGGGAAGAGAGTAGCTGGCTGCATGTGGGAAGACGGAGTTCCTACATGACGGCTTTTATTTTCTCAAAAAAGCGTGAGACAAGATTATCAGTTGATGGTGGAGTAGGCAGAGAGGCAGAGGAATGAAGAGGCAAGAGGAGGAGGTGTCAAGTCATCATCTTGGAGAGTGTGAAAGTGAAATGTGGGGGATACACAGAATGAGGGAAAAACTGAGAACCACTATCATATTTCTATTTTTGTTTAGGAGAACTGAAATTCTCCTAGAAACTCACGTTAGCAAACTTGAAGTGATTATTTATTCTCTCTTTTGTTTTTTATTTTCCTCACTCCTAATTTCTAAAAACGACATTCCTTAGGATTTTATTTTTTTAGTATCCATTTTTTGGTCTCCCATCCCACCCTCACTCCTCTGGTACAGGCTGTCACCATTGCCACAGGGGGATTATTGTGGCAGCTTCAGTAGAAATCCCATATTCAGACTCTTCCTTCCTTGATCTAATCACGCTGCTGTCAGAATAATCATTCTAAGTACAGCTTTTGTCACGCTGTTTCCTTGTTCACCACATCTACCCAAGTTTCAAAGGTCTTTAGATTAGGTCTTCCTTATATTTTTTCCCTCTATTTTCCAATATAAACATTTCTAGTTCTGTCAATCTAGTCTTTTCCTTAGAATTTAATGTCATATCATTTTCTTTTTTGTTCTGCGTTCACTCGTGATCTCCTTGCTGGAACTCACAAACTTGACGTTTTTACTATGTCAAATTGCATTCATCTTTTAGGACTTTATGTAGTGATGTAAATATTCTATATCTGCATAGTCATATGTAACTATCAAGTACTTGAAATGTGACGAGTGAAGAAGTTATGTTTAAATGTTATTTTATTTTAATTAAATTTAAATTTAAATGTAAGCAGCCCAGTGTGGCTAGCAGCTACTGCATGGACAGCGCACCTTTAGGATCCACACCTTATCCCACTGCTTCCCTAAAGCCTTTCTGGACAACTTAACCACTTACATCTTTGCAGCCACCTTCTTCTCAGAAGTCCTGCAGCTTTCGTAATCTATGCAGAACAATTTTGTATTTATTTCTATATTTTCTTACTTTCACGCATTTACATTTACCTTATTTGTCTTTTTTTCTCTTTTATTTACAACATAGAACTCATAGCATAACCTTTGGTATACGCTTACTGAGGTTTGAGTTATTTTTATGTAAGGGGATGCTTGTCTCCTATTGAAGCAAACTAAAAAACCAGAGATCAAAAATAGAAGCATTCTGCCAGGCCAACCTTCTAGCAGGAACGGAAATTCAAAATGGCCTCTTCTCCTTCTTGAATTCTTTTCTCTCTTTTGGGTTGCTCCCACATTTATTCCTGCTTGGATAAATTAAAATATCACTGATGTTATTTGCTTTGCAATGACTATTTTCTGATATACAGTGCAATAATACTTTATTACTATTAAGACAATAGTATTTTTACCATTGCTCTGTGGGATGTTAAAAGTACATTGTTACTTTTCCTCTGGAGTTACTCAAATGTGTAACATTTTCCTGGAAGTTGCGGGACTATTTGATCTTAAGTTACGAGTCTAAATTGTACTCTAGCAATTAAACCTAAAAGTCTTTTAATATGAAGACATTCAGCTTTGTAAGTGGGAAGTAAAGGGGCAATATTGCTGGTCTGGAGTGAAGTTAAATGGATTATTCAGTCATTCTGTTACCACCCCTCTTCTGAAGGGTTATTCAAATCTACTCACATAATACATGTATTTTTCTGCAGTGATTAGCCCACAAGCGTTCAGTTGAAAGAAATGTAGCATTCTTCTTTTCCCTCCAATGGGAAGCTGGCCTTCATTTATGCAAATGATGGCACTCATGCTGGGGGCTCACCAGAGACCCTGACACAATTGCATCAACAGAGATATAAATCCCCCCACATGCCTGCCTTTCCTATTCATGAAGCTGCTTCAGCATTCAGTAATGTTCATTTGCATGTTAACACTAGCAAAAAGTATTCCAAACATAAATGTCCAACTTTTCAAATGGGAGGAGGGCAGGCAGCCAGGAAGAGGAGAAGGGAGGAGGAGAAGCCTAGGACAATTGAGCTTGATTTTGCTTTCTTAACAATGAGAGCCTAGGAACAAAATCAACTTGCTAACTCACCTTTTCTGAAGAATAGAAAAGAGTCAAGCCATTTGCCCCCTTCCAGATTAGGCAACTTAACTTTCTCCCAGTGTTTTCTTAAACTTGGATTTAAACTCTTTCAAACTTGTTTATAAGGTATATCAACTCAAATACTCACTGTGTTCAGCACATATCAGAGTTCGTTCCTAAGAATCAGAGTTTTATCTTTCTCATTTGCTTCCTCATGGGCACTTCCTTATTATCCCTTCACACACATACATGTAAACCCTCTATCAAGTAAATAATGTAATGTGCTATATGCCATACATCAGTGTTCTGCATAATGACAAGGTGACGTGACTTGGCTAAATTCTATTTTATTTATAATGACTAATACTACTCTATGGTATATGGAGTCCTCTGAATGATTTAAATGCTTTCACTTCTATTACACCATATGAATATAGATGCAATGAAACAATAAGAGTACATAAAATGCAATAGTTTATTCACTTAAAAGCAAAAGTTTGGGGGCTTTTAGGAAAAAAGGGATACTTCAAGAATAGTAGAGTCAAACAGGGTATTTAGTTGAATTGTTTAAAAAAACTCTGGAGGAGAAATCAGGACAAGAACAACAAAAAAGAATGTTAAAAGGATAGTAGTTGAAGAGAAATCTGACATTTAAACCTAGGCCCCTAATGGTGCCCATGGCAACTCTTCTGACAACTGGGTTTAAAAAAAAAAAAAAAAGACAAAAAATCTATTCTCTTCTTTGCTTTCAAGGATAATCCTTGCTTTTTATTTTTTCTTCCTGGGAACCATGACAATTTTTTTTTTCTCTTTTGGGACCATGCAGAACTTTCTTTTATAATCGGCCTAATAAATAATGGAGGGTTAATGTCCTTTAGACAACTAGCTGGGAAATTTGATCTTCCCAGAACACATTTTTACACTGGTGTACAAGCACAGAATTATGTGATCTGTGTGCTGAGAAGCGTAAGTAAATTGTTTTATATTTAGGATTTATGCTACTTTACTATTATCAGGTGGAATAATACAGCGTGAAGATGAGAAATATATTTAAATTTTTCTTTTGAATCCAACAAGTGGAGGTAATCATTCTCTCTCTCTTTTTTTTAAAGGTAAAGTTCTTATCTATTCTTCTGGCATTCAGGTATCTCTAGTTGTATCATTGCCCAGGATTAGGTAAAAATAGTAGGTGTACATTGAAGGTATTACATTTACCTTCTCATTTCAAATATAATTTCCAAGATGAGACTCATTTTTCAAGAATTCTATCACAGCATCAGAATTGCTTCACATTTAGAGCTGATGCCATGTGAGCCTAAACACTGGGGTGGGAACAACTATTTGCAGGAAGATAGTGTTGCTACTGCCCAATGGGCCTTACTGCTATTTTGCACACAACGTGCTCAACATGGTTTTCTTTTTTTTTTTTTTTAAGTAGAAAATGGAAAGGATGGTCACATTTTTCACCATCTTGTTTGCAAAGCACAAGTCTGAATTTTAGGAATGCCAGTTTACCCTTAAACTTGTTTTTGCTTTTAAGATAAAAATGCTCATACTCAACAAAATTAGTACAGTTTAAGAATACAGATTGCCCATTTTATGTTTTGGAGAAAAATTTCCAGGAAGATTTAATGTCTGTAAAGGATCTTCCTGTTCATAATTTCCCAAAATATTGAGATTATTTTCTGAAAAGTTTAATAATCCTTTAGCAGTAAGGATGTTTATTGAGCATGGATTCTGTGCCAGGGCCATTTTACATAAATTATTTCTTATCCTCTTGACAGATCTATATGATAATATTTTATGCTCATCTTTAGGTGAAGAAAAATAATAAGGAAGTTGTCCCGTCACATAATTCAAATGCAGTTGAGCTGGCATTCAAACCCAAGCCTTTCTAAATCCAAATCCTCACACCCCTTTTTATACCTCATCTGACATCTCAGAATCGGCACTGTAAATCCCATCTCTCTTCTTGAGCAGATAAATTAAAGCACACTACCAAATAGATTAAAAAGGATGTTGCTTTTTGTTTTCTTTTCCTCTACAATTTTGTTGTTGTTATTGTTGAGTTCATGACTGGAAAAGCCTAACCAATCATAGGGTGTGGAAATGGCAGTTTTCTTCATAAAAATGTCAATGACCAATTTGCTTCTTCATCTCTGATATCAATTGCACCTGACATTTCCTAGCAGAGAGCTAAAAATTAACTAGTCACAACTACGAAAATGAGAGAAAGATACTGGGCCATGAAAAGTTGAGCAGCACAAACAGAACTGGTTTTAATGATTATATAAAAATATATACATTGCAAAATAAATGCTGTGTTTGGAAATGGCCATAGAAATGTGTTGCTCAGATCACTTGCTTTGGGGATCACAGGTGACCAACAACCTCAATCATTGCTTCTCTGTATTCACCACTCTTTCATGCTGAGGTGACACTTTCTCCAGGTGGTCTCAATAATTAACTGAGCACTGTGGGGATACTAGTGCAGGTCTATTCCTACAGGACATGGGACTCCTCTAATGGCTGGCTGTAGCTTGAGGACTCCCCATGGGCCCAGTTGAAACGTTCTCTGAGCTGCTATGAGATTCTTTATAACCAATCTTGGCATCTGCTTCTTGGAGGACTCAAACTGACATATGCATCAAAGTATTTGAGCCTGGAGATTGCACACATTGAATATGTGTTTACATCTCATGATACTACTGTTTCTAGGTGTTGCCAGTGTTATCCTAATGATCTAAAGAACCATAGATCTTTTGTAACTAAAAGCATATCAATGAATTTAAATCCTGGTCTTCATCAACATAAGTGCCTTTAAATAACTGTCTATTTGTATAAAATCAAATTTTGGATGAAAGGATTAAGGTTTCTTAAAGGAATACACCACAGTGTTTACTAAATTCTCCATAGACTGTATATGTAGGCGTATATGACCATGATGAGCTGAATAAATATTCGATAATCAAACTTACCAGTAAACAAGGCTTTAGCTCTAGAATTATTTAAACAATACACTGAGATTTTTCTCATTTGAACTTCAGTGTCACTATCCCTTTGGCCTAAGCACCGTCTGAGTGCCTTCCCTATTGGAAACCATATTTCTACCTGATCCAGTTAATATTCTTAACACTAGCCTGTTAGTCTCCAGTACAATTCTTCTACTGAATTTCTTTTAAATTTTAACCTTAAATCTAATGATCTTTCTCTATACTAATCACTTACGTAGTGTCACTAACTCTGCACCTAGCTGATTCCTCAAACAGTATCTTTTTCTCCTGAAGGACTGGGATAGGAAGGTGTAAATTTTCCCTTCATGAGGAATTGGTTGACTAAATTGTTCATCGGTCCAGGGAAGCAAGTATGTTCAGTTCTGTAGCTGTAAGTTTATAACAATTATACTGACAGCTGATAGGTGCTATAGAATAATGTCTTTAAAGTTATACAACCTGGTAATTCTAACTCTCCCACTTATTAGTATTGTGACTTTAGAAGTTTATAAATCACTTTAAGTCTTAGCCATCTGCAAGTATCTGTTTATAATAGCATCTATTCACAGAGTTGTTATAATGATTGCATCATGATCTACGTAAAGTAAGTAAATCTTACACATAGGAGATATTTAATGAATGTCAATTATTATTATAATATGTTATAGTTCAATGTGTCCAAAAATAAATACTTGACTTTCCCTGATCCAGATTTTTTTCCTTCAAAGTATGCTAAAATGAAAACACATCTCCTGTAAATTAGGAAATTAAGTAACCATAAAAATATGAGTTTGCTGTGTTACTTATTCAAGTTCTGGGTTTGCACTGAAGTTTTGCTTTTTACTCTTGTTTATAAGTGTATATTCCTATAATGTGATTGTCTTTAATTAAATGCACATTTCACCCATTTTAGTAAAAGAAGGTAAATAAGTACATTAAAACATGGCAAAATCTACAAGTGGTTCTACCTGAAAACCAGGCTGAAGATAAGATGGTATCTGGGATTCTTCAGCTCTCAAAATATAACATGTGCAACTTCTTTTAGTAATTATACTAATTGTGGAATTTAAAATACTTAGTAATCTCTTGTTTAAAATGAATATAATGAGAAATATGATTGCCTCTCACTTGAATTTCTTATTCCTTTAAAATGTGTCTTTTCCTCATTGCATTAAAATGTGCAGTTAAGCTTCAATGTTTTCTCAAAGCAAATTACTTTTCAGTTATGTAAGAAAGAAATAAAACATTCTGGTTGTGCAAAGTTTCTTGTCCACAGCATTTATGACATTTGAGAACAAATACTGGGCTGAATGGGACTTCTGGTTTGTATATTGCACCTTATTTGGTGGCTCAAGATGTCTTTTTGTGACACCACTCATACAAAAGTATCCAAGTGATCTGTCTTTGATAAAGACTGTTGAATAGCAAGTGGGCTACAGGTAATCAGTCAATAGAGCTGGAGTGAAGACAGAGTGAACTTTCAAGAGCAGTTAAGAGTTCAGGTTATTTTCCTCCTTTCCACTTTAAATACTTCACCTCCTTCACATGGTCCTCTCTTATCTCAATTTCTCTCCCATTTTGTTTCTTTCTCTCCCACATCTCCTTTGTTACCTAATCTTTGGGGTGGAAAATGAATCTACAAGAGGTATCAGAATTCTTCTTTGTTGTAATCTGTCCAAAAGGTTTTCTGGGTTTTTATTTTTACTTTCATGTTAACTGGAGCTGTCCTTAGAATTCCAATGAGTAAGCTAAAAGAGAGAGAATTAAAGAAAAAAAGAGATTAATATTTTGTTTATTTTTTGTTTTTATTTGTTGATTATGGAAACATTTAGACATACAGAGTGGAGAGAATAGTACTATGAATTCATGGGTTGTCATTACCCAGGTTAAACAATCACCACTGTGAATAATTTTTGTTTCATTTACCTTTCTCTATTTTCCCTCTGTTTTTGATCCTGAAGTATTTTAAAGTAAAACCCTGACATATTATTTCGCCACTTAAGTATGTCAATAAAGATTTCAGCAGATAAGGACTTTTGCTTCTGTCGATGATGGTACTCTGAAAAGCGGAAAACAGTCAGTATAATATTCTTCCATATTCTATGATAACCTTTCACACTAAATATATTGCATATAGTTGTGAAAAAACCTTGCTTTGTTCTCAAATACTGACAGTAAGGTTTTCCTACTACTTACCATGCTAGCTGTATTTACTATTTAATGAGAAACCATTTAGAGGACCTGAAATTCTATGTTGATAAACTCCCTATAGGATAGAAATGGTTTTCTTGTTTTGTAGTTATAACTATTATAATTTGGGGTCCTAGCAAATGCAATAATGCAGGTGTGAAATGCAGCATGCAGCAGCATGTTTACTCTTCTTTAAGTCCTAATGTCATTAGTAAGATGTTTTAAAAAATCCTTCCAAAGAGTTGAACCTCAAGAGGAGAGACAAAAAAAACAGGACAAATGATGTGTTCAGAGACACAGGATCCTATTTGGCAGGCTATGTAAAGTGTTCATGTTTTACTCCTAAAGGTAGAGGGGAGAAGGCTGTCTTGGAGGAGGGAAGACTAACACTAGTCCTAGGAAAGATGTCACTGTCATGCTTACTCCAGCCACAGTTAGTACAACTAATTCCCAGCTGTTGTAGATATAATGACCAATTGCACATAAGAAAACACAGATGAGGTTTTGATCTGTTTTCTTTCTGAGTTATTGATAGCATGTGTTGGTAGGTCAGTAAACTGACCCCTGACCATTGCACTCACTCTAAAGAAAGAGTTATAGCACATGTAACCTCTGGGCTAACACATGTTAATCTCAACCATAACTGCAACAATGCTGGCATTTCTGTGCCTGTTCAGGATCATGTTCATTTCTTTAAGGGCAAGGATTTTATCTCTTTTTGGTACGTTCATCTAATCTTGAGTCCCTGCTGGATGCATATTTTTTACTGGCTACTTCTTAATAAATTCTTTATGTCAAGTTTCTCTTCACTACATATCTCTTCAAAGGATAGTAGGGTGTTTATCCTGTGGCTCTACTTTTCTATTGCCTTTTGCTCATTTGTTTAGTTGGTTATAAGCTTTTATAGAAGATACATTTTCTTGACTATTTTATTTATTCCAAATTCTACTCAAGAGCCTTTTCTATAAATCTGTTAAGATTAGAATTAGAATTAGAATTAGATTTGATAAAGAAGACATTCAACTCTCTTATCCTTTCCCTAAGGATACCTCTGATGTCCTTGACTCTTTCGCTAAAATATTTCAAATGTGCCTTTGCTTAATAAACTCAACAATGAGAAGTTTTTCAAAATAGTCTATTTCATTATTGAAAGGCTTAATTTATTAGAAAATCATATTTTTTTGTATAAAACTGCCTCTCTAGCTTATACCCACTCATTTTTTTTTCACTTGGGAAAACCCTTTAGATATCGGTAGACATTTAAAATATCCCTTAACTCAGGGACGTGTAATACAGGTTAAAACTCCTACTAAGTTTAATTACTGAAAAGGATCTTTTTGTGCAAAGCTACTCTCTTGTCTGACAGATTAAGTAAAATTAAATTTTTTTATACATTAATAAAGTAAAAAAGTAACTAAAACAGAACAGAGGGGAAAAAGAGAAAGAGAGAAAGCTTAAGTTTCATCCTTCTATGCATCTCCATAATGCTACCTGAGTGTATTCATAATTGAAGCTAGATTCACCAATATAAATATTCACATACAAAATAGATGTCTTTGGAAAGTTGAAAGATAAAAGTAGATTTAAAATACCAAGAAGTAAAAAAAATTTAGAATGCTGGCTTTGTGTAGAAGATTATTTATTTCTAAAGATAAAAAGAGTTATACTTTATACAAACTACACATCTGCTATTTCTTTTCTTTCTAGCTTCTGAGATTTAAAAAATTTTTAATATTTTATATCTTTGTCTTTATATTTTCTCATGATACCTTATATAGGGATTGAAACATTGGCATTTAATGCTGTTTTGTAAATGATTAGTGATTGATCATTGTCCACCACCAACAACAAAAATGGTCATATTTAGCAAATCATGACTGCATTACATTTTGATTCTTAATTTAAGAAATATCTATATTTATTTTCAAGGGAGAAAGCTAGACTTAATGAAAAAAGTTTCAAGAGTTCTAAATCTTTAACAAACAGAATGTTGCTCAATTTCAAACTGTTTTGAAAGAGATTGAATGTAGAGAAGTTTAATAAAGTCTAGACTCTTCCGTTTTCTTCTTTTTTTGTAACTAAAGAGGAAAGCTTAAATCACATCTTAATATCAATATGTGGCTCAAGGGGCCAAGAACATTACAATATTTGAAAAATAACGTGAGCTCAATCTATCCTTTTCTTTGTAGCTTCTGATGCAATCAGGAAATGATTTAATGTGTTCCTGTCATTAATAATATAACAAGCTGTAACTAGAATGTACTGAACAACAATCAATTCATTTTGTTTTATTTCAAAATAGGGAAGAGAATGAAAAATAGAGCTCTCCAAATTGCTTAGTAAAATAACTACCCTTTCAAACTAGCAGCTTTCATTAATTCAGTACATTGGCACTGTGGAACTCTGGTGACATTTAGTAGCTCATTACCTTTCTTGAGAAAAAGTAAAAAACAGTGGGGTTATGTTTGTGTTCTTTTTCACTTGGCCAGCAAGCTATTTTTAGTGTAAATTATCCATAATACAAATGCATATCTTTAATCTTTGTCTACTTTTGCACACTTGTATTGCTTATTTATATACTTCATTTATAACATTTTCTTGAAATCTTGGCAGATATTTGCTTTCAGGACAAGATTTATCAAATTTATGAACCCAACACTCTATCCTGTTAAGGTAAAACCTAGGAGGAAAGACAATTCATACTGGGTGAGAGTGATTAATTTGTTAACAAGATTTAGTGACCATTTGTCTATCTTTACTGTGTCTCTAGTCAGAGTTATAAACTAGCATAAGATAGATTTAGTGACTATTTCTCTTTTTCAACTTGACTGTGTTTGTCATGAAAATTATTTTATCCTAAGGGAGCCTATGCCTTTTCATTACAACATACAGTTTAATAATAAACAGAGTGTTTAATAATATTTCATAGAATAAATAATAAAATATCTTTGGCAAATAAGTGATGAAAGTACTTTATACATATATTTGGTTTATAAAGAAACTGGGGCCTAGAAGGAGAAAGAGTGAAAGAATTTATCCTTAGAGTTCATCCTTTGAAGACATCACTTACGGTGTCTGGCAATCTGTTCAATTATTTCTCAGCCAGTACAAGCGTGCCTTCTACAGTGAAGACAATAAGTGATTGAACAGTTCTATTTAACAATAGTCCTCTTAAGTTACTTTCTGACAAACTGGAGCTATGAATAATTAGTTGGATTTTTCAGTACATCACAACATGATTACTCCTTAGCGATAGTGATTCACATATTATTCCCTCACACACATATCTTAAAGGAAATACTAAGGAGAATGCGTTTTTTAAACTTTATTTTATAGTTTCAACTCACACACAACTTGGAAAATTTAAATTAATGATACCATATCTAACATAAAACCTCTAACACATGCAGAAAATATTCTACTTTTATATCTAGGGAGAATCTTCGTATATCAGTTTTTTTAAAAGATATTTCAGAAGCTGCCTCAATGTGTGTGTTTGTGTTTGTGTGTGTGTGTGTGTTTAAATACAAGAGGACTTCAAAAAGTTCATGGAAACTGAAATTAAAAGATAAAAATAAAAAAAATATAACTTTACTTCTCAACATAAGCTCCATCAAGTTCAAGATGCTTTTTGTAGTGATGATATCAGTCATTTATTCCATTCCTAAAGAGCCGAGGGTCCTGAGAATTCTACATGTCAATGGACTCCTTTTTACATTATTAACAGAGAAAAATGAGGGCCCATTGAAAGTTGTTTTCATATTAGAAAACAAAAAGAACTCAGAAGGAGCCAACTCAGGACTGTAAGGTGAATGCCTAATGATTTCCCCTTAAAACGCTCTCAAAATTGCCCTTGTTTGATGAGAGAAATGAGCATGTGCATTGTGGTGATGGAGAGGGACTCCCAGCAAAGCTTTCTAGGGCATTTTTCTGCTAAAGCTTTGGCTAATTCCAAACACTTATAACAAGTAGATGTTACTGTTCTTTGGTCGTCCATAAAGTCAACAAACAAAATGCCTTGAGCATCACAGAAAACTATTGCCATGACCTTTGTTTTTGACTGGTCTGCTTTTGCTTTGACTGCACCACTTCCATCTCTTGTTAGTCATCGCCTTGATTGTGCTTTGTCTTCAGGATCATATTGGTAAAGCCATGTTTCATCTACTGTTACAATTCTTCAAAGAACTACTTCAGGATCTTGATCCCATTTGTTTATTTTTTTAAATTTAAATTCAGCGGGGTACATGTGTGTATTTTTTACATGTATATATTGTTTTATAGCGGGGATTGGGCTTCTAGTGTACCCATCACCCAAATATTGATGGGTACACTATTCTATTATTTCCATGGATCCAGTGGATCCATGTGTATCCGTTGTTTAGCTCCCACTTATAAGTAAGGATATGTGGCATTTGATTTTCTGTTTCTTAGTTTACTTAGGATAATGGAGTCCAGCTCTATCCTTACTGCTGCAAAGAACATGATTTCATTCTTTATAATGGCTGCATAGTATTCCATGGTGTTTATATACCACATTTTCTTTATCCACTTATCTGTTGATCGACACTTAGGTTGGTTCCATGACTTTGCTATTGCGAATAGTGCTGTGATAAACATATAAATGTATGTGTATTTTTAATATAATATAATGTTTTCCTTTGAGTTGATATAAAAATAGAAAATTGGATTTAAACTAAAATGCTTCTTCACAACAAGAGAAATAATCAACAGAGTAAATAAACAACATGCATAATGGGAGAAAATATTTGCAAATTATCCTTCTGATGAAGGATCAATATCCAGAGTCTACAAGGAACTCAACTCAACAAGAAACAAACAACTCCATTAAAAACTGGGCAAGGCATTGAACAGGCATCTCAAAAGAAGAGATATAAGTAGCCAACAAACACATGAAAAAATGCTCACCATCACTAATCATCAGAGCAATGCAAATTAAAACTTCACTGAGATATCATCTTACATCTTCAGAACAGCTATTGTTAAAAGTCAAAAAACAACGCATGTTGGTGTGGATGCAGAGAAAAGGGAATGCTTATGTGCTATTGGTGGGAATATAAATTAGTTCAACCTCTATGGAAAACAGTCTAGAGATATCTCAAAGAACTAAAAACAGAATTACCATTTGACCCAGCAATCCCACTATTGGGTGTCCACTTCTTTAAAATTTCCATTGAAAACTCTGGTCTTGTCTGCAGCTGGTCTGGGTGCAAAGATTTTGGCATCCATCAAGTGGAGTTCACGCAACTTTAATTTTTTTAGTCAGAACTGTGTAAGCTGATCCAATTGAGATGTCTATGGTGATGGCTATTGTTTCTGCTGTTAACACTGGTCCTTTTCAATTAGGGCACAGCCAAAATTAATTTTTTTTCCTCACAAATTGATGTGGGTGGTCTGTAGCTGTAGTCATCCTCTTCAACACTATCTCATCGCTTCCTAAAAATGAGTTATTCATTTGTAAACTGCTGATTTCTTTGGGGGCATTGTCCCAATAATCTTCTTGTAAAGCATCAGGGATTTCACCATTCTTTCACTTAAGATTCATCATCAATATGCTGTTTGTTCTTGCTTCAATTTTAGCAGAATTCCTGTTGCCCTGATAGAAGCTGTTTTCACACTGATGTCTTTTTCTTCTTAGTGCTTCAAACTAGATCCTGTTCAGAAATGTGATAACAATAACTTGTACAAGTTATTTTGGTGCAAAAAATTGAAATTTATGCACTTTTTTTTGTTTTTGTTTTTGTTTTTTTGAGACGGAGTTTTGCTCTTTTTGCCCAGGCTGGAGTGCAATGGCACGATCTTGGATCACCACAACCTCTGCTTCCTGGCTTCAAGCGATTCTCCTGCCTCAGCCTCCAGAATAGCTGGGATTATGGGCATGCGCCACCATGCCCAGCTAATTTTGTATTTTTAGTAGAGACGGGGTTTCTCTATGTTTGTCAGGCTGGTCTGGAACTCCCGACCTCAGGTGATCTGGCCGCCGCAGCTTCCCAAAGTGCTGGGATTACAGACATGAGCCACCGCGCCTGGTCCCTGGGTTTTTTTTTTGTTTTTGTTTTTGTTTTTTTTTTTTTGAGATGCAGTCTTTCTCCGTCACCCAGGCTGGAATGCAGTGGCGCAATCTCAGCTCACTGCAACCTCCGCCTCCCGGGTTCAAGCGATTCTCCTGCCTCAGTCCTCCAAGTAGCTGGGAATACAGAAGCATGCCACCATGCCTGGCTAATTTTTTGTATTTTTAGTAGAGATGGGGTTTCACCGTGTTAGCCAGGATGGTCTCGATCTTCTGACCTCGTGATCTGCTCACCACGGCTTCCCAAAGTGCTGGGATTACAGGTGTGAGCCACTGCACCCAGCCTGTTTTTTTATAATACACATTTTCCATGAACTTTTTGAAGGCCCCCTCATATATCAGCTTTATTGCAGCATAGTAAAAATGCTTTTAAATGTATTTGCAAATGTGACAACAATGGGAGAGATTTTCATAGACTTTCTGTTCCCTGCTGAGTAGGGATGTAGGTAGAAAGGATGGTCTTAAAATTTCAAAGCTTTTAATATTATTGTTTAAAACTAGGTCAATTATTAACTTATGCTAAACAAAGCAAGATTAATGAAACTGAAAAATTCCTTGAAGATATTAATAAAGTATTTTTATTGTATCGTTTTGTTTCAACTCCACTCTTCTTAACTTTCCAAGAGATTTTCAGGAAAATGTTTTTCTTTTCTGTATAACGCATATCAGTAGCTTATAAATTCTCTACCAGTATTTAAATGGAGTACACATATTCTGGATATTAAGCTTAAAAATAATATTTTCAATAACTTGTGTGTGGTCAAATGAATATTCACATGACAAAAATGTCTCTACTCTTTCATTTCAGTTGCATCTTTTCAACAAAGTTGACTCTCTCCCTACAAAGGAAAGTTTGTATCAGCTACTGAGAAGGTAATATGTTCTCTATGATATTTTCTAGTATTTTCAACTATTGATGTCAGTAATATGCATATATTATATGCTTCTTAAAATATGGCTCTGATTATATTATAAATTTTCAGAATTTGAATTGCTAGGTTAATAATATGCAAGCTATTCTTCAAACAAGTCGAATAATTTACATTGCCAGCAGTAAAGGTGGAGCATACCTGTTTGCCCACAGTCTGATTAACACTGGTTAATATTCATTTAAGCCAACTTTGCAACTGGTAGATTAGAAATGGTATTTACTTATTTCAGAAATTATATTTTGAGTTTATTTACATTAATAAATTGCTCCTTTATAGTATTTTTCTATTTTTTTTCTCTTGAAAATCTATTTCTTATTGACTTGGAATTTATACACACACACACATACTTTTTTTTTGTTTTGTTTTGTTTGAGATGGAGTCTTGCTCTGTCGCTCAGGCTGGAGTGCAGTGGCACAATCTTAACTCACTGCAACCTCTGCCTCCTGGGTTCAACAGATTCTCCTGCCTCAGCCTCCCGAGTAGCTGGGATCACAGGCACACGCCACCATGCCTGGCTAATTTATTTTTAGTAGAGATGGTGTTTTGCCATGTTGGTCAGGCTGGCCTCAAACTCCAGACCTCAAGTGATCTGCCCGCCTTGGCCTCCCAAAGTGCTGGGATTACAGGTGTGAGCCACTGCGCCCAGCCGCACAAACAATTTTTGATTGCTTTTTAATTTGATGGTGTTATTAAAACTGTATACTATTTAGAGATCTTGACAGCCACCCCCAAATTTATCTTCATGTTCTCTTTCAGAAGCTGAAAAATTACTTACAAATAAAGTCACAGGAACTGGTATATCTCTACAGATTCCTCATGAAACATTCAGACATATCTGTTTATGAGATACACAGAAGTAAACAGAATCATTACACTAATGTTTAAGTAAGCTTTTATGGAAGAATAATATACATATATTGTGCACAAGTCATTAGTGCACAAATTCATAAATTTTTCAAAAGTAAACTATCATCCAGGTTAAGAAAAAGTATATCTCACATTTTTAGAACCTTAAAAGCCCCTTTCGTGCATTTTCCAGTCACTGCTTCCATAAGGAGTCATCACTGTGGGGTTATAGTGTCAGAAACTGATTTCCCTTTAGCTTTACATAAGTTAAATAATAAAGTGTGTAATCTTTCCTGTCAGCTGTTTTTCATTTTACGCTATATGTACGAGATCCATCTTGTTCATTGATTGTTATGTGTAGTTAAAATTCTTTTAT